>NT_187382.1:0-300000 GCF_000001405.40 Homo sapiens | reverse complement strand
TCATCATCTAATCTGAAACAGACTGTCCCAGAAAATACAGAATATAAGAATATGATGTATGTGCAACAATTTTCCTTTCAGATTTTTTGTCTTATAACAGTTTATTGGGAAAGAGATCATTATTCAGTTCAAAAGGTAGGAATGCATTTGTGAATTGGGGCCTGGACATTCCAGGTAGAACAATTATTTGCTCCTTTGATGTAAGACAGTATCAAGCTTTTAGTCAATCTTATTAGAACTCTGCCATATCTCTCACTTGTATAGCCGCTGAGGATCTTTCCTGTTTCCATACTCCTTTCCAGGGTATATGACTTTTAAGTTACCTGAGTTCTGATCAGCAAATGGACTCAGGAAGAACAGGTAGTCAAGGCAGGCAATATTTCCACCACAGTTTCGGAACTCCCTACTTTGTGGTACTAAGTTAATACATTTGTGCAGCCACTACCTTTTCAAAGGTTTCTTCTTACAACCTCAAATACTATGACTGGTTCACAACCTTTTCCATAGTGCTAAATTATTTGACCAAACACCGCATATATACCATATTTTTTCAAAGCCAAACTGTATCCCAAAGAGAGAGAAGGAGAGAGAAAGAATAGCAGTAAAAATACAGTGTTATTTCAGGTTGATATTTAAAAACAATTGTGCTGGTTAATGGTTTCCTCGGGGGAAATGACAATTGAAAGTCGGTATTTTCTACTTTCAAATACAAGTCATGGTGTTTATTCGCTGCCTTTACAACTGAATAGATGGAATTCGCTGAACAAACTTTGATTCTACCCTCAATTACAACTAATTCCCTCACAAAGCAAAATTTATTTCACAACTAAACATTATGTACATTCAAGATTACTAGAAAACTTAGGACATAAGGTGCAAGTGCGACAATATTAGGAGAAAAGAAAGAGTGTGTATCAGTTTAACAGGTTTTCACATGCAAATTCACCACCACAGGGTTCGCTGTCTTGGCAACATTGAAAATAATAATAATTAACGTTTTAAGACACCTATTTTGTGTCAGGCAATGTTCCAAGTCTTTTCTATGTATTATTTTATTTCCTACTTATGAAACCCAAAGAAATTGGGTTGGTATTATTGTATCTCTAATTTTTGAAGAGTGAAACAGGCAGAAAAGGTAACTTGCCTAGTTGGAGATGGCATCTGATCTCAGGCAGGCTAACAATGGAGCCCACAGTTTTTACTACTATTAGGGGAAAAGACCAACACTATCGAATGAAATAGATTGGATCAAATCTAAGTCACTGATTGTGTGAGCTTATGCAAATTATTTGACCTTTCTGCCTAGATTTGTTTAGACTATAAAATAGAACTAATGATAATACTTTTGTCAGACAGTGGATTTGATGATTAAATGCGGTAAATCAAGGTAGGATCTTACACATAGTATTTATGGAATCTATTTCAGTTAATATTATTAATGTCTTTCATTTGTAGGGCTCTTCAGCATTTCCCAAACACTTTTATATAGTTGTTCAGTTCATCCTCACAAATTCTGTCATCACACAGTTAAGGTAGACATTCCCATACTCATTTCACTGATGAGATTCAAAGAAATCAAGTATACTGTCCAAGGTCACCCATAGTAAGTGAAGGAACCAGTTCTTCTGACTTCAAGTTCAGTAAGAATTCTGCTGTACCATACATCCTATTCTGGGAAATGTGGCTAAGTCCTGTGTAGCTAACTTCAGAACTACATGGCCATGCAAGCCAAAGAGCTGGATTTACCCCAGAAATGAATACTGTAGAGAAGAAATGAGTGAAGTAGAAGAACTAAGGGATTTCTTTCCAGTAGTTTTAAGGTAATAACTAGTCAAATTATACAAATATTTATGTAAAACGTATTTCACGTGCAAAATATGTCACTGAGTGAAAATGGCAGATCATGAAACAATAGTATTATATAATCTTACACAAACATGAAGTCATGGGATTATGGGTAATTAAGATTCGTTGTTTCCTTTTTTATGCTAATATCTTTATTTCCTAATTTTTCCATGACAAATATGCATTTTTTGATCAATTTACAAACAACATGGAGTAACAAAAAATTAGTGTTTACAAATGGATGCATAATTTAAAGCAATGCTTTTAGACACACCACTTACCCACACTTCCCCTCCACTTTGTGTGTAAGGGAAAGGATAATGCTACTGTCTTTGGTAAGCTTTTACCATGTCTTTACAGAGCTTCTCAAGTACTTTTCCATGTGGGGTCACTTTGTGGAGAGGAGTTAATTTGGCACCCTAGTCCTTCTATTTCACTCAGAACCAGCTTTTTCTGCAAAGGAAAGAGTGGTCCTTGATAGCAAACCCTGGCCTTGTGGTTTTCATTCTAGATGCTTAGAGCAACAACAACAACAAAAACAAAAGACAGAGACAGAGACAGAGAGAATGGAGGAACATGTCATACAATCAAATGAACCTTCCCAATCAAGAACTTTACCTGGGAACCTCCCATCTACACTTGTACACATCTCTCCCCCCAAGCTCCCTGCTTACTACTAATACAAGAACCAACTTTAATTAAAAGAGGGTTTGAATTGTTATGTTTTTGATACCTACCTTTTTTTTTTATTATACTTTGTTTTAGGGTACATGTGCACAACCTGCAGGTGTGTTCCATATGTATACATGTGCCATGTTGGTGTGCTGCACCCATTAACTTGTCATTTAGCATTAGGTATATCTCCTAATGCTATCCCTCCCCCCTCCCCCCACCCCACAACAGGCCCCGGTGTGTGATGTTCCCCTTCCTGTGTCCATGTGTTCTCATTGTTCAATTCCCACCTATGAGTGAGAACATGCGGTGTTTGGTTTTTTGTCCTTGCGATAGTTTGCTGAGAATGATGGTTTCCAGCTTCATCCATGTCTCTACAAAGGACATGAACTCATCATTTTTTATGGCTGCATAGTATTCCATGGTGTATATGTGCCACATGAACTCAAACAAATTTACAAGAAAAAAACTAACAACCCCATCAAAAAGTGGGCAAAGGATATGAACAGACACTTCTCAAAAGAAGACATTTATGCAGCCAAAAGAAACATGAAAACATGCTCATCATCACTGGCCATCAGAGAAATGCAAATCAAAACCACAATGAGATACCATCTCACACCAGTTAGAATGGCGATCATTAAAAAGTCAGGAAACAACAGGTGCTGGAGAGGATGTGGAGAAATGGGAACACTTTTACACTGTTGGTGGGACTGTAAACTAGTTGAATCATTGTAGAAGTCAGTGTGGCGATTCCTCAGGGATCTAGAACTAGAATTACCATTTGACCCAGCCATCGCATTACTGGGTATATACTCAAAGGATTATAAATCATGCTGCTATAAAGACACATGCACATGTATGTTTACTGCAGCACTATTCACAATAGCAAAGACTTGGAACCAACCCAAATGGCCAATAATGATAGACTGGATTAAGAAAATGTGGCACATGTACACCATGGATACCTACCTTTTATTTATCTGTGTTTATTATAAGAACATATTTTAAACGTTTATCTCTTCTGAGTTTTTATTATGAGCAAACTGGGCACTCATCTCTTTTAAAGAACATAAGCCATTTATCTATCAAAAGTATATACTACTAGTCATCTTAATAAAAACAGAACCATTTTTAAAAGATAATAATTCAACTATGGCCAAAGAAGCAAAGTATCTATGGTTGGAATAAATAATTATTACTTTTTATTAAGTAATTCAATTACTCCACATTTTACTTAAGTGTTGGAAACTCAAGATCTATCCAGGGACTCAAATTTGCTGCACATAGTAGACTTAGATTCAGCTGCATATAATAGAAACTCAAGCTACAGTAATTTATGCAACATAAAGGTTTAGTTTTCTTCTCTCATGCGTGCTTCTAAAGATAGTCAGTCCACTGCAGTCCAGAGGTGGGCAGTGCCAAGATATCATCAGGGACCTAGGCTTCCCTGCCTTTTTGACAAATCTTTTGTAGTATGTGTTTCTTTCCTTAAGTTCACCTTATTACCTGAAGATGGCTGCTGAAGTGTCAGACAGCGGCAAAACTATATTCCGTTTATATATCGGAACATAAGCATGTCAAATGATAATCACCATAAACAGAAGAGACTGCAACATCTAATTTTTTAAACTGGGCACATTCTCAAATTGAATAAAATTGAGGTTGTATTAGTTAGGAAGATAATAAAATTGGGTGTTAAATATGTAGCTAACAAACTTTGCCACACATGTATTGGGTATAAAATTAAGAAAATGGACATAAGTGATAGAAGTTTAGAAGTAGCCCCTCTTCTCAAAAGCCTCACTCTAGGAGGTTGATACACCTCTTAAGCAAAACTTTATACCCAAATGAACTGCAAAAGAGACAGAGTTGGTGGATAGAAAAGTTTTTAAAAAACAAAAATGTTGATAAGCCAAAAAAAAAAAAAAGACACTACAAAAACTCTTGCAAATGTCTATGGAAAAAAATAAATTTAAATTTATTTCCCCTATTCTCCACAGAACAAAAGGCCCACATACGGTGCTTGAAAAATAAATGCTTGGAATGGTGCTGGGAAAACTGGCTAGCCATATGTAGAAAGCTGAAACTGGATCCCTTCCTTACACCTTATACAAAAATCAATTCAAGATGCATTAAAGACTTAAACGTTAGACCTAAAACCATAAAAACCCTAGAAGAAAACCTAGGCATTACCATTCAGGACATAGGCATGGGCAAGGACTTCATGTCTAAAACACCAAAAGCAATGGCAACAAAAGACAAAATTGACAAATGGGATCTAATTAAACTAAAGAGCTTCTGCACAGCAAAAGAAACTACCATCAGAGTGAACAGGCAACATACAAAATGGGAGAAAATTTTCACAACCTACTCATCTGACAAAGGGCTAATATCCAGAATCTACAATGAACTCAAACAAATTTACAAGAAAAAAACTAACAACCCCATCAAAAAGTGGGCGAAGGACATGAATAGACACTTCTCAAAAGAAGACATTTATGCAGCCAAAAAACACATGAAAAAATGCTCACCATCACTGGCCATCAGAGAAATGCAAATCAAAACCACAATGAGATACCATCTCATACCAGTTAGAATGGCAATCATTAAAAAGTCAGGAAACAACAGGTGCTGGAGAGGATATGGAGAAATAGGAACACTTTTACACTGTTGGTGGGACTGTAAACTAGTTCAACCATTGTGGAAGTCAGTGTGGCGATTCCTCAGGGATCTAGAACTAGAAATACCATTTGACCCGCCATCCCATTACCGGGTATATACCCAAAGGACTATAAATCATGCTGCTATAAAGACACACACACACGTATGTTTATTGCGGCATTATTCACAATAGCAAAGACTTGGAACCAACCCAAATGTCCAACAATGATAGACTGGATTAAGAAAATATGGCACATATACACCATGGAATACTATGCAGCCATAAAAAATGATGACTTGATGTCCTTTGTAGGAACATGGATGAAATTGGAAATCATCATTCTCAGTAAACTATTGCAAGAACAAAAAACCAAACACCACATATTTTCACTCATAGGTGAGAACAATGAGAACAAATGGACACAGGAAGGGGAACATCACACTTGGGGGACTGTTGTGGGTTGGGGGAGCGGGGAGGGATAGCATTGGGAGATATACCTAATGCTAGATGATGAGTTAGTGGGTGCAGCGCACCAGCATGGCACATGTATACATATGTAACTAACCTGCACATTGTGCACATGTACCCTAAAACTTAAAAGTACTGTAATAATAAATAAATAAATAAATAAATACACCAAAAAAATAAAATAAATGCTTGGAACAAGAGATGAGAAAACTATTTTAATGTCTCCAAAGGCAAACTTATGTCATTGTTATTGCAAGAACAGAACAGAAGCAGAAAAAATATTCAAAAGGGCTTCAGTCAAGTCAAACAAAATATGAATTAGAGTATGGGGACTTTTCTCTCTTTGGGAGATTAAATTACCAAAACCCAGTTCTGGCTTTGATTTTTTGACTTCCTTCCCAAAAGTTTCCCACTGGCCTGTGTCCTCTGGAAAACAAGATCCGACCATTCAGATAAACATCCATCTTTCCTCTTCTCCCTCTATTCCGTAATCCCAACTTCAGTAGGAAGGTCATGTTCCTTCAGCAAGACTGTGGGTCCCTCTTCAATTGTACTGCCATAAAGGGAGCACTGGGATGGGGAGGTAGAAATGGAGAGATGATGGGGTGCTCTTACTGCAAGGAAAAAAACTCTCCTGGAAAATGGAGATGGAACTTGTTCTTTCAGAGATAGGAGGATATTATACAAAGTTAGTGGGAACTGAAATCCCCAAATCAGACTGAAAAAGAGGAAATCAAAAATAGAAAAGGTAGCTGGGAGGGGAAAGGGAGAGAATATGATGCAATTTGGGGAGATGTTAAGAGGTTAACAAAGCACTCTCCTTCTTCCCTAGAAATTCCCACCTGACAGTTAATAACAAGGGAGTCACACCTGTGTGTGACAGAGGGCAGCCAATGGCCATTGTGGAGGAAAGAATCACCGAAAAAAAGGCTTTACTCTTGCTGCACGATAAAGTGGAAAAAAAAAATCCTTCCTGAGAAAGTTCAACCTTGTCTCTGCTGACTTCCATTTTCTCTGCTCAGAGGTAAACAGCCGCTAGATAAGCCTTGTGGACAAGGTGGAAGAGCAAGTAAGTAGAAACTGACAGGGCAGAAAGCAGAAATGAAGAATCTCTCACACAGAGAGACTCTGCCCCTCTCCAAGGGAAGCCAGAGGCTTGAAGCCAGGCAGGGATTAGGTGGCATTTAAGAGGAATCTGTGTGTTAAGACTTGCCACAATTTAACTGCTCAAGTAAGGAGCTGTCATTTGTGGATAATGTAAGTATGCTTCAGGTGATACTATCAAACTTGATTTCCTGAAAGCAAAGGACCACTGCATAGCTCAGAATTCTATATTCCTAGGATCTCTACCTCAAAACCGTTGCGTCTTCTTGGTCTGAGATTTACCCCAGCCTCTGAAATCTCCCTGAATGCTAGAATAGAGAGGGAAGCCCAAGAATAACAGGGCATGCTATTTGACACAGTCAGGGCTCAAGAAACAGACTTTGAAAAATGTGAGGAAATAGCCATGGAAATAGGATGATGGAGCACCAAATGTATTGAATGATATCCACAATGAGGTGGATGGCTTTGCAAGGTTGAGTCATCTAGATGATTCATTCCCAGGACCTTCTCAGGCCTCCTCTGAACTTTTCACTGAAATCTGAGGCATGTACACTACTCATGCTCCAGCTCCCTTTGAAGAGACATTATTACTCAAGGAAAGGCAGCTTCTGTGCTTCCAGAGCCAGCTTTCTGTGGTCACCCAGCAATGTTATCTCAAGAGAAAGACACAGAAATCCATGTCCTTTGATAGAAAATCCTCCTTTGCTCAAGGGCATGAGTTACTGAATAAGTCCAAGGAGGGTGACACTTTTCATTCTTGTTTGATGTCTGTCATTCTCAGAGCACCAGCCTGATCTGCCTCTTTCCATCTTTTCAGGGACCCAGATAGGGGACACATGATTATTGCTGATTTCATAATAGGCAACTGGAGGCTTTACCATGAAAGATGAATAAGTAAACAGTGCAACTTGGAGGTAGGGCTGGCCACCTACCACTTGGTGGCCAACGCAGGGACTGCTCACCTCCTGCTGCTGTTTCTGGAGCCTGTTGATCAGCAGCAGCTGCACAGCTACCACCGCTTTACCCGGTAGCTTCAGAAGGAGGACTATTTTGATTTACCCCAAGGTGAGGTTGAGTGGGATGCCTTCTGTGAGTGACTTTGGAGAAGGCTAAGGAAAGCCAGATGAGAAAGAGAGGATTAGAAGCTGTGAGAGGTTTAACCAGGCAGAAATCTCTCCCAGCAGGGGCCTGGATTGCCATCACATCACTGAAGGGAGGGCTCACAAAAGTGGTCTGCAGGCAGTGCTTACTCCAAGCCCGCTTTTTACACTGAAAATGATAGTTGAAGACAACATATTTGAAAGCACCTGCAAACAAAGTTCTTTCAAAAAACAGTTCTGATACCCTGCTAGTCCTCTCACACAAGGCATTCCCTTAAAAAAGAATATGCAAAAATGGGTTGGAGAATGCTATGTGCATTTTTCAAAATGAATTCCTTCTGCCTCCACTGAAAGCAATGTGTTCACTTGTTTGATAAAAAGCTACTTTATTCCAGAGGAATGAGGCAAGAATCAATGAGCTACTTGTCAGTGTTCTAAAGCTAAATTGCAAATTCAGAGTTTCTCTAATTCATGAGGTTCTCACAATAGTAGTATTGCATGAGTGAGAACAATAGTTGTGATCCTGTATTACATATGAGGAATCCAAGCACATAAAGATTAGGTGACTTACCACTGTGGCACAGCAAACTGGATCTGGTGCTCATCCTCTGAGTCACAGTCCAGGGCTCTGTACTCTCTACTGTCTTCCGCTTACCTCCAACTGATGACAGCTTACCTTGCTACGGAGTTAAATGGGCAAAAACGAGGTAAACATCTTAAAAATACACACGTTATCTATTTCTGAGAATATTTTCACAAATTTACAGAGATTTTGCATAAAATTATAAGTGCCCCCAAACAGAAGGATAAAGTACATTGATAAAAATGGACTATAATGTTCTCATTAAGAATCATGTTTCAAAGAACACATAGTGCTATGGGGAAAGACACATGATATATTAAACAAAAGTATTAACAAAACTGCATGCACTACGATTCCAATTTTGAAAATAATTACATAGATATCTAATATACGAAATACAGAGAAACAGAGGAGGCTAGAAATGGTCTTAGAAATGGTATTGTGGATGATTTAAACTTCCTATACTTTCCTGTGTTATTATTTTTTTCTAAAATAAGCACATGTTGTTTTCATAATATTAAAATAAATTCTCTTTTGTAAATGGAAACCTTAGTGTAGACTAATTAGTTTAATTCTCTACTTTTTGTTGGCATGACATGAGCTTGAGAGAAAGTATAAATGTCTAAATCTGGAAAAACACAGCAAAAAAAAAAAAGGTAAAAAGTCACTGCAAACAATTTCAGAGACCATCTGTTAGACAAATGGGCCAAAGAGGGCTTCTTTATATAGCCCCCTAGGGTGTTTACTTCTTTACAGTAAGCTGAATCCTGTTAACTCAAATGCCATAGATAAGATAAATTCTGGGGCTGTAAAGACCCCAAGTTGCTGCTGTACTTTGGAGCTCTCTGACACAGAGTCCACACTGGGCTACTCAGCAACATCACCTAGACAAGCAAATCTCTCTCTTATCGCCCTCTCCCCCGAGCGCTCTCTAGTCCTCCTCCCCTTCTGGATAGAGGCCTGATGCCATAGCCTCTGAAAGGTAATGCATTGAGGGACTATCCCTGCATGAAAAGCTATCTAAGCAGCTCCCCCAGGAAAACTGCCACCTCAGGGTCAGCTCCTCAAGTTTTGGCTCAGAAAGTGAAAGACTTCCACACACATTGCTTCAGGGAAAAAAAAAAAAAAATTAGCAATTTATTCCTTAATAGAGTTGGAGTACTTGTAGTCCTGTGGCATAACCCTGGGACTTTGCTGACCACAAGTCCAGTATTTCATCCCCCCTCCTTTTGTCTGCTGTCAACTAGTGTTCCTTAGAAAATATTATTATTGTTATCAATGTTAATAAAACTTCACGTTCTAATTAGCCTTAATATTTTCCATTACAGTTTTTTATGTTGTTGAAATCAACCTGAATGGTTTTTTTCTTGAAATATCTTAGATCGTATCATGGAATTTCAAGATTGAAAGAAATTTGCATCTGATGCTTAGATACCCTCTCCCACTTTCCCAACCTATATCTGACAAAAGCAACTGATAGAAAGTATTGTTCTTCAGCTCGTTCCATCATTGCATATATTTCTCTGTTAAAAAGTAAGTCTCCATGATGAATTAAAATGTGTCACCCTATAGAATTATAGTAATTCTGTACTTTAGAGATTAAATGGGACAAATTCAATTGCTTTATTAAATAATTACCCTTCATTTGTTTCAATAAAACTTTTTGTTCTCCAATTTAAATATCCCAATTCCTTCTACTGTTACTCATTTTCCGTACTTCTAAGTCCCCTCTAGTTGTTCTTCGCCAAATTCACTATAGCTTGACAATGTACTTCTTAAGTGAAACTAAAATGACAAATTCATGAAACAAGTGGGCAAATAGTTTAAAGTTAAGTACCACTAAAACAGATATTGATCCAAAAATCTCAACATAAGTACAGAACCCTTGGGGCTGGCACATGTGCAGAATTGTAGAAAGAAGGGAAGAGATAGATAAGCCTTTGAAGCATTTTGTAAATTCTTTGCCATAACTGACTTCTGTCTTTATATCCTTGGACTTCATAGAACCCCTTGTTCTTACATTTTCAGTCCTAAATCCAGTATCATCTATTTTGTGGGAAAACATAGCTATGTTAGTATAAAAACATATATCAAGGCTTCCAATTATATTTGATATTCTGATTCAGGCTTAAGGTCAACTGATTATTCAGATTAGACCCAGGCCTCATCATCTTTCCCTTTTTCCCTAAAGGCTGAACCAATTAAGATCTCAGTTAAGAAACACTTTTTGAGATCTTCCCAAAACTTTCTCACTGTTATCCCTAGATGAGTCCACTTGGAAATGTTGGATGATCCAGAAGGGTCAAAAATAAACCTTGGCACATTTATTTAAAAATGAAGCAGGTGGAGACTGGAGGTCAGCAGTGAAGACTGAGTGTACACACAGCGTGCTCTTAGTCACCACTCCTCCAAGAGGAGCTGTCCAGGGTATGATAGCCATGGCTCAAAATGTGTCTGCTACATACTCTCCTAAAGAGTCAGGTGTAATCGGTGCTTCCTAAATCAGGAAAGACTGCAGTGCCCTTTACATCCGCTTGTAACCACAATATGGTTATTGGGTGGGCTCCAAATAACTGCTATACTTGATAATGTTACCTTCCAACACTGACCCTTTTAAAGGCCTTCTAAGAAATTTTGGATGTGAGCGCCACTGTGTTCCTCTTTGCTGAACACTTTCTCAAATGGGAGACCAAGGAAGATGAGGTTGACTCATGTATTCCAGCAGACAGAAACCTAACTTTAGATGTCTACTCTCTACATGTTTCTATAATTCTCACACAACAGCTTCAGATAAGGCACAGCTCAGATTTTTTTCATGTCTTTTCCACTTTCCTTTAACCCTGTGTTGCATTTGGAATCAATCACAATCTTGAAAGACACAGTTCCAAACACCATAATCGAATGTTGAAAATCAAAAGAACAAAATCCTTAAAGTCTAAAATTCCAAAAATCGCCATCCCAAAAGACTGAAATCCTGAAAATTTAATTCTGGAAAAAATAATTTTAAAAATTCTTTAAGATATATTTATTTACATTTTTAAAAGGTATTTATTTGAGTAACATATAAAAACACAAAAATAAAAACACAGCAGAACACTTCAAAGATCACCTTACACAATAAAATAAGCGATAACATACATTTTTGCAAGCATAAACATTCAGGCCTTCTATCAACAGTCACACAAGTATAAGAGTTATAAACAGATGAACTATATTCATGAAGAAATAGGTCAAAAGGTGAAATATGTAAATGCATATCATTGTGGTTGGTAATTGTATGCACCCAGCTCTATAACTGTAGTCTTCTGAAATACCATGATAGACAACATAAGTATTTTCATGATACTGATTAATCACCACCACAACAGTCACCTAAAGAACCAAGATCTCAAGAAATAATGTTTTAAATGTTTCTGTAGTACTGTAAGGTGAATATAGTTAACTATAATTTATTGTGTATTTTTACAAAGCTAGAAGAGAGGATTTTGAATGTTCACAAGACAAAGAAGTGCTAAATGCATGAGGCGATGTGCTAATTACCTTGATTTGATCACCCCATATTGTCTATGTGTATTGGACTAGTACTCTATATCTCATAAACATAATTATTACATGTCAACTAAAAATAAAAGGAAAAATATATTTTTAAAATGTTAACTCAAAAATCTTAGCTTAATAGTTGTAAAGAAAGAAGACTCTCCCATCAGAGTGAAGTGGGAGTGATCTTGCTTCAGGAAATGAAGCTGCATCAGCATAACAGGACTTTGACCTGAAGTCCTAGCTGCTGGCTGAAGCAGCCACTGAGGAGCCTTTGACAGCAAAATCTGTAAAAAACATTGCGTGATAGGCATACCTAATCGTTAAAGATAAAAACAATACATAGGTACACGAAGACATTCGTTGTATCTCATATTTTCTATAAATGTTCTAAGGAAATGTACTTGTTGCCTAGAGCTCATTTAAGAAACAAGGTTCTCTTCAGTGCAGCATGTGCTGTTTTAGGGACCCTGCCAGTGTCCTTCCAATAGGACCAATGCTCTAAAATCATCACATAAATAAAGTGTGACAAGAGTTTCAGCTTCTTGGTTTCGTACTCCTCCCTCAGACATACTCTACTTTGTACGTTTACATTTCCTCTTATCTATCTCAATTCTTCAAGCTTCCTCATTGAAAAATAAGCCCTGGAGAATGAATGGAATATGTAAATAAATGAAACATCCACCAGTAGATTATTGTTAAGAACTGTAGTATGTGTACATGATAGAATGCTTCCCCGTATTAAAGTAAATATTTTTAAAGATTATCCCAAAATATGGGTAAAGACTTAAGATAGGCTATTAAAGTGATAAAAATAGAATAAAAAGTAGAATTCAAAATTAGTCATAATATGATTCGAAGTAGAAAAAATAGGAGTAATGCAGCAAAGTATTAGTAACAATTTGATGTAAATGAACTGTGCCATTAATAATTTTTCTATATTTTTCATATTTGTCCATTTTTTGTTTCATTTTCTAAATAGTTACTTAAATTGTGCAAAATTTTCTCTACAGTATAAATGTCTACCAACAACTCAGAGAGAAAATGTCCTACAGTGGCATGTAACTTCAAATGATCCAGACCTTTACATAAGTGCTAAAAAGTGTTAATGGTGTCATTTCTGGGAAGGAGGTGCCCTAGAAGAGGGAAACAGACTGGATTCTCAGGCCTTTAAGGTTGTCTTCTTGAGACAGTCTCAGTGTCCTAACTATCAGCACCGTGTATGGAGCCGAGACCCAATTTGCATATTTCAACAAGCTTAATTTTCTCAACAGTTATGGCTTTCACTTTCCCCCATCTTCTTCCAGCCATCTCTATTTATACACCCAAGAAACTTTCAGATTTTCCTTAGTTTCCTCTCATAACACAAACGTGCCTGAGATGTTATCAGGCACATTTATCATTCACATGTCTCTTGAAGGCGTTCAGAAGAAATGAATGGTATCCTTTCTCCTGGAACTGCATCCCACCCTGGAAACCAAATGCTGTTTACATTACTCTTATAGGATTTTTCCAGACATATGATAAAAGAAAAAACTTCAGCTGAATTAAATTTAAAGGAGTTGAATTGAGCAATGAATGATTCACAAATCAGGCAGCCCCCAGAATCACAGCAGATTCACAGAGGCTCCAGCACAGCCATGTGGTGGTAAATTTATAGACAAACAAAAGGGAAATGACATACAGAAATCAGCAGTGAGTTACAGGAACAGCTGCATTGGTTACAGATTGGCATTTGCCTCATCAGTGTATTAATGATTGAAGTATGGCCACTGAGATTGGCTAAGACTTAGCTATTTGTTGCAGGTGCATACTCGTAAGTTAGGTTTTCAATTTTGTCTGCCTATTAAGCTAGGTTACGGTTCATCCACAAGGATTCAAATATGGAAGTACAAGTCCTTCTCAGGCCATATTTAGTTTGCTTTAACACCTATGAGCTTAATACTGACAAAGTGAACACTATTTCCTCATATCATACAAAACCAAAAGTGTTGAAACTAAACTGTCAGGATCTAATACTCAAATATCATAGTATGATATATTTTCAATTTCCCATGGTGTTCTTTCCCTCCTTTCATATATTCCTTCACTCTTATTTTTTAGCATATTCATTCATCACCCAAAACTTCATCTTATGTGCTAGGTGTTGGGCCAAGGCTTGGAGGAACAAAGTGATGCAAAATACTGATAGACTTTTTAAAATGCTTATTGAGTCAGAGGGGCATGAGATTCTGCATTTCTTTTTATAGATATATATACTTTAGGTTCTGGGATACATGTGCAGAACGTGCAGGTTTGTTGCATAGGTATACACGTGCCATGGTGATTTGCTGCACCCATCAACCAATCATCTACATTAGGTATTTCTCCCAATGCTATCCCTCCCCTAGCCCCCCACCCCTGAAAAGCCCCCAGTGTGCAATGTTGCCCTCCATGTGTCCATGTGTTCTCATTGTTCAACTCCCACTGATGAGTGAGCCAACATGCGGTGTTTGGTTTTTTGTTCTTGTGTTAGTTTGCTGAGAATGATGGTTTCCAGCCTCATCTATGTCCCTGAAAAGGACATGAACTCATCCTTTTTTATGGCTGCATAGTATTCCATGGTGTATATGTGCCACATTTTCTGTATTCAGTCTATCATTGATGGGCATTTGGTTTAGTTCCAAGTCTTTGCTATTTTGAACAGTGCTGCAATAAACATACTTGTGCATGTGTCTTTATAGTAGAATGATGTATAATCCTTTGGGTGTATATCCAGTAATGGGATCACTGGGTCAAATGGTATTTCTAGTTCTAGATCCTTGAGGAATCACCACACTGTCTTCCACAATGGTGGAACTAATTTACACTCCCACCAACAGTGTAAAAGCATTCCTATTTCTCCACATCCTCTCCAGCATCTGTTGTTTTCTGACTTTTTAGTGATCACATATGCAGAAAGCTGAAACTGGATCCCTTCCTTACATCTTACACAAAAATTAACTCAAGATAGATTAAAAACTTAAGTGTAAGACCTAAGCCCATACAAACCCTAAAAGAAAACCTAGGCGATGCCATTCAGGACATTGGCATGGGCAAAGACTTCATGACTAAAACACCAAAAGCAATGGCAACAGAAATCAAAATAGACAAATGGGATCTTATTAAACTAAAGAGCTTCTGCACAGCAAAAGAAACTATCATCAGAGTGAACAGGCAACCTACAGAATGGGAGAAAATTTTTGCAATCTATCCATCTGACAAAGGACTAATATCCAGAATCTACAAAAAACTTAAACAGATTTACAAGGAAAAAACAAACAACCCCATCAAAAAGTGGGCAAAGGATGCGAATGGACACTTCTCAAAGAAGACATTTATGCAGCCAACAAACATGAAAAAAAGCTCATCGTCACTGGTCATTAGAGAAATGCAAATCAAAACCACAATGAGCTATCATCTCACACCAGTTAGAATGGAGATTCTGCATTTCTAAAAGTCTCCAGCTGACACTGATGTTGCTGGTCAATAGACCATACTTCATGTAGCAATGATCTAGTGCTGACCTAGTGAAAATGTCCAAGGAGACAAGTTCCTGAACAAAAAAGCCTCAGAAATATCTCTACCTCACCCACATAATGATGAGAAAAAGTCAGAATTGGGAGTGATTCTTAAAAATCAGTGTTTCTCTCTCAAAGTCAGGTTAAGGAGTAGACATTGCCTGATTTCTATTAAATCCTACTAAGATTCTGCCAGATAGTAGAAAACATTGTAATACAAATTGAAAAACATCTTTATTCCTGTCATTTATTGATTTATATAACATGTTATTTGTTGAGAACCATGGTGCACTGGGATGTGTGGTACTAATCAGGGATACATGGTGACCTAAACTAGACCTGGAACACTCTTGAGGAGCTTACAATCTAGTATAAATCCTAAACACTGAATAAAATAGCCAGGTAAATAAATGCCAAATTAATCATTCAGTAAGTGTTATAAAGGAAAGGTACATTAAGGCCTAACATGATTCAATGGAGGTGGCGCAGGGAACTCTGTCTCACTCTTCATACCATAAAAGGCTTCTTGAGAAAGGAATGCTTGAGTTGAGACCCTAGAAAAATGAATAACATACTTTAAATAAAGGGAGATGAGGGTGAAAAGTGGATTTCAGGCACAGAGAATAGAATATGACATGATTTCATCTCCCTTTTTGAAACAGTAACTGTGGCCACGGTAGTGAAGAGTTTAGAGAAGGACAAGGGTAAATGTGAAACTAATTATGAGGCAAGTATATTTGTTTTTGTATTTTTGTGTATTTTTGCAAGACAGGATGAATTTTATTCTGTTTTTAAAATAAGTAAATTTATCTTTGTTCTTTGGAAGACCTCTAGTAAAGAATAAATGTCATGACATGTTAATCCTTAAAATTGTTATAGTTGCTCAAAAAAGAAACTCAAAAACTAAAATTGGATCCTATCAACCCAGATAAAACACTGAAAATTATGAAACTTTCACTCAAAATACAGTGATAACTGCAGAAAAGCAGCAACTATTTAATCATGCCCACCAACAATGTGCAGTGTCCTCCATGGGCCAAACACACTCCAGGTGGCGGCCATGGATGGAGGGGAAGAGGACTGGGGTTTTCTATGGGGTGATGGCAGTGTTTTGGAGCTCAAAAGAGGTGGTGGTTGCACAATGTGAATGTGCTGAATGAGGCAAGTATATTTGAAAAAGATGGAGGCAGTCAGTAGAGGTGGTGGTAGAAATTGAAGGAAATGCATATTATTACATATTTGGGAAGTAAAATGTATTTAAAGATTGGAAATGGAGGTGAACGGTTAGAAAGATGGTCAGATACCTTGCCATGGCGTCTCACCCTAATACTTCAGTGCATGCCAGCCTGACTTCCAGCATTCACCCCTGCATTTCCTTACCTGAGGGCTTTCTCTGATCACAGAAGCCACTTTTGCTGTCCCTGCTGCAGGTTGGGCATGCTGAGGAATCAATGCGGCTAGGAGACAGTCCATAACTAATGACTATCAGAAACTGTTGTACGAATACCCTTTATCTCTCAGCATGTTTCTGAGATGAGTTATCTACACTGGATCTCAGAGTTATTCCAAGTTTAATCCACAGTTATCCATTCTGGTAACTGCTTCATAGTTCACTCTTTATAAGGGTCTTTGCCCCACTTCCCAGTTCTCCTACCAGAGATTCTGATACCTACCAAATGAATCACCTGCAGGTGAATCTTAGTCTCTGGATCTGCTTTCAGGGTAGCACTGTAGTCAGATGAATGGGAATCCATTCTCTCAGAAATGCAAGAAGGGAATGTGGTTTGGGAAAGTTCATTAGATCAATTTTGGAGTTGAGTTTGAGGTGCCCCTGAAACATTCAAGTAAAACTATCATCCAGCAGTCAAATATTAATACCATGTAGCAGTTGTCATCTGGAACTCTGAGGATGCAATTTGTATTAACAATTTGATATACTCATTGGCAAATAAGTAATAACCAAAGCTTTGGAGAAGAAAATGACCTAGACAATAGTATAGCATTGAAAGATGTGAAGGCCTGGAACTCAGCCTCACAGAGCTTCAGAATTTAATGGCCAAATAAAGGAAAAGAAGCCCACAAATCAAATAGAGGAGTTGTAGCCAGAAATGTGGGAGTTTTCTGGGCAATCAGGAGGCAAAGTAGAGTAGAGTTGACACTGAAGCCAAAGGAAAAAATGTGTTGGAACAGCAGTGCTGAATTCTGCTGAGAAGAGATACATCTTGAAAAAAAAATGTCCATAAGACTTAGACACATGAATGTTATTGGTGATTTCTGCAATGGCCATTGCAGGGTTATGATGGGGAGGGAACCATATTTAAATATATTCAATGTGAGGCAGGCATGAAGAAGAGATGAGGCTTTCTTGCTGTGTGTTAAGCATGCCAGCCATCCCCCTGCCTTGTGGCGCCTATACATACCATCTCCTCTGCCTGTAATGCTCTTTTGCTAGATATTTATATTTCTTGCCCCAACACTTCCTTCAAGTCTTTTCTCAAATATCACCTTCTCAGTGAGGCCTTCCCTGACTAGCTATTGAAAATTACACCCAGTGGGGATGGGGAGATATTGGTTAAAGAGTTCAAAGTCTCAGCTAAACAAGATCAATAAGATCTGGAGATGTACTGTATAGCATGGTGACTGTAATTAATAATAACATATTGTTCAGTTGTCTCTTTATATCTAGGGGAGACTAGTTCCAGCTCACGCTGGAGACAACAAAATCAGCAGATGCTCAACCGCCTCATGTAAAATGGTGCAGTATTTGCATATAACTTACACACATCCTTCCATGTAGTTTAAATAATGTCTACATTTCTTATAGTAGCTAAGACAATGTAAATGCTACGTAAATAGTTGTTATACTATATATTTGAATTATTTTTTGTCATATTGTTATTTTTATTTTTTTCTAAATATTTTCCATCTGTGATTGATTGAATCTGCAGATGCAGAACCACAGATACTAAGGGCCAAAAGAATACTTGAAAATTGCTAAGAGAGTTGATCTTAAATGTTCTCACAACAATAAAATGGCAAGCATGTGAGGTGACGGATATGTTAATCAGTTTGATTTAATCATTTTGCAATGTACACATATATCAAAATATCACCTTGTATACCATAAATATATACAATGTTTTCAAATTAAACCTTAATTAAGCTGAGGGAAAAATGTACACCTGCCACCTGTCACCTCCAACACACACTTCCTATTGACCTGAACCTTCTAATTTTTCTCCATCTTTACTCATCGCCCCCCAAGCATGCCACATAGTTTATTTACCCTGTCTTCCCCCATTACAATATAACTTCCACAAGTCAATAATTTTTATCCATTTTGTTCACTGCTGTATTCATGAGTATTTATAGTAGTGTCTGGAATGTTAACAATTATTATTGTTGAATTAACTAATCAATTATTAATATTTTAAAAATATAAATAAACATGTATATTACATTTTGCATTTAAATGCCATTAGAGCCCAACTATAAATATAAGTATAGATGGAAGGGGAAACCTTAAATGGTTTTATCCTTATATTCTTTTTGCCAATATGTTTTCCCACATTTCTCTACAATAAACTTCTACACCTTTATAATATTGAGAGTAAATATTTCTTAAGAAAAATTAACCTTAAGAGAGAGCTCAAAAAAATAAATAATTCACAAAAAACTGCTGTGAAGGCTATGCATGGAAAGGGCAGAAGGGAGATGGAGGGAGTGCAGAGACCTGTGGGCTGAGTCTGAGCCTCAAGGCTTTTTCAGCATGAAACTCAGCAAAGACAGGTGTTAAAAAGGCCTGCCTCCCACCGCCCCTGCTGTTCACTAAGCTTAGGCAATCAAAGTGTACCAGTGTTTTTTCACTGCCCAGCATATACTGATTTAAGGACTCAACACTCTGACTTGAGAAAACCTAAAACATGAAGTTATCTCAAAGGTGGGTGAGATTCTAAGGAGGCTCAAATATATAGTCCTCAATTAATTCTCACCTCAACTTAGTTACAATCTGATACAACATATTAGGAGACAGGAACAGCACAGTGGTAAAAATCAAACCTCACCTCAAAAGATCGTAAATTATTGCTCTCAGATTAGTATTAACTGACACAATATGTGCAGTGAGTATCTTCTCTTCCTCCTCCCGAATTACAGAAGAGAACGTGAAAGACTAGGAGCCATACACATTACCCCAGGGAAAGCAGAGTGAAAGGGCAGTCTGGGTGTCCTTAACTGCACCACTCACAGAGGGGGCCTGTCCCACAACCAGCCAGGTTATTTCAACCTATTCTTACCTGACAAAAAGGATCTGGGGGCCTTGGCTCCACTGTAGGTGGGTAATTTTATTCCAACTGGTTTTGGGTGCTAGTTTTCTGCCTAGTGGTCAAATTCAGAAACCGAATCAGGACCTAGATCTCCACCTGGAGCTCTTAGGTTAGCTAATCAATGTCTTCTTGGTCCTCAAGGAAGGGTTTATTGTTTTTGTTTGCTTGTTTGATTGGTTGTTTGCCATTGCATTAAAATTCTTTCTTACCCAGCAATTGATGAGTTCAAGGCTATCCTGTCACATTTCGTGATGTGGCCTGAGCCCTCCCAGAGTGTTACTGACTGGGACCAACTACTAACTAAAGTTTAGTGAAGAGAAGACAATGAGCTTGCTGGAACATCACAGAGGCTTGGTTGCCATGGTAGTGATTGTCAGATGAGATCACAGAGAAGGGTGTAAGAGAAAAGAAAGAAAAACATGCAGGAAAAGCTGAAGCATAATATTATACTAAAATATATATATATTATATATATATATTTTATACATATTTATACTGTCTAAACTTACAGTGGAGTAATGTGTTGAAACTTGAGGGGAAAACTACTTTTTGAGAAAGACTGACTTTCCAGCATCTTCTTAGAGAGATGTGGTTTCATGGAAGAATGGTGTCTGAGCTACATTTTGTCTTATTCTAAAAGTAAAAGGAATGGGACTGATCTGGAAGCACATAGATTCCAGATCAATACTAATACCAGACTATTGTAATGCCAATTTATAAAAGGAAGCTAGGTATCCATTAAAATAACAGAAAATCAACAGGTATTTTTTGTAACAGATCATTGAGTTGGATGTGAAATGGTTTAAAGCTTTAACTATTCCAGGGGCTCCTGCAAAGTGTAAACTTAGTGTTTTCTTGAGTTAGCACTGAAAGGAGAGCAGGATTGAGGGACAAAAGAAGCAATCCAGTCATCTAGTAATATGACTCTGGATGATGTTTGCTCTAAATTGCTCCCAGCATCAGTATGTGGAAGGTGGACAGTGTGTGTGAACTTCAAAGCCCCCGCAGGGCTTCAGTTGGCTTGAATAAAATGTTACTGGTTATCCTGCCACCTTGTGGCTATGGGCCAACATGCCAGGGTGTGGAGAAGGAAGGGAGGAAATTAATGAATCACAGAGTTGCCTGACTGAAGAAGGAAAGCTCAGAAACACATCCTCTTCTCTCTTCCCTATAGATGTCAACTTGCCCATCACTTGATTAGCTAAAAGTGAATAGGGCTTAAAGTTCAGTCCTTGAATGAGATTTTGCTTATATAGCCCTCCTAGGACTTTTGTCCTATCAGAGTAGCTTGTTGCACAGTGTGCTCCTTGTGATCAACGGTTAGTTAATCTTGTCTCTCCAAAATCTAAAGTTTAAATCCTTATTCATTAAATCAGACTGTTTATCAAGTATAGTGCTTTACTAACGAGATTATTTCAGAAACAAGCGAACAAAACAATAAGACGTATGCTGTTTGTTTTTTGAGACAGGGTCTTGCTCTGTTTTCCAGGCTAGAGTGCAGTGACACAATCACGGCTCACTGGAGCATTGACCTTGTGGCTCAAGCAATCCTCCTACCTCAGCTTCCCAAGTAGCTGGGACCAAAGGTGTATACCAACACGCCCAGCTAGGTGTTTTTATGTCTGTCTGTTTGTTTGTTTTATTTTGCAGAGATGGAGGTCTCCCCAGGTTGTCCAGGCTGGTCTCAAACTCCTGGGCTCAAGTGAACCTCCCGCCTTGGCTTCTCAAAGTGCTGGGATTATGGGCGTGAGCCACTACACCTGCCCAATATTGTTGATCAGAGTAAAGAAAAGACATAAGCACCCAGTAACAGTTAGAAGCCATATTCAGATTAGCTATAATTTTCACTAGAACCATCCCAATCTCTTGAAAGATAAAACATCAAATTAAATGTAGCCAAATCTAATTGCTTCACCTCTGATTTTTTTTAATCACTTGAAAAGGGTAATGGTTCCCTCACATTTTGTATATAAAATCTACTGGCTAGGGGAAGGCTCAGAAACTTGAATGTTAAATAGGATCCCAGGTGATTTTTACACACACTGAAGTATAAAGGTCACTGGACCATTCTAGTGGCCATGGGTCCCCTCTGGTTGGCCTGTAGTTGAAATCTATGGGAACAACTTTCAAACTACCACATCTGAGGAATCAGTGGAGGTTAGGAGGTTACTTTTAGAAGGTGATTGGGAATGTACTCGAATTTGAGATTTGTTAAAGTTCATTATAGTTATCACATATGAAAGAAGCAGCACACATGAGGAAAGGAGAGCTCTGGGGCTCCATGATAATTCAGCATGCCACAAGAGAACACTGAGACACAATTAAATGAAATCACAACAATGATAGATGAGCAAGATAAAAATATTGAAGTAAAGATATAGAAATTTTACAAGAAGAAACAATTAGAAATTCTGGAGCTAAGAATTCTATGACGGAAATAAAAAAATCACTAGGGGGTGTTCACAAGTAGACTTGATCAAACAGAAGAAGGAATCAGCTAATCCAGACACCAGTCATTTCAAATTATATAGACAAAGGAGCAAAAGAAAAAAGAATAAAAAAGAGCCAATGAACCTACGGACTTAAGGTACATCATAAAGTGAAATAATATACTGATCACAAAAGTTCCAGATGGAGAAGAGAAAAATAAGAAGGAAAGTAAGGTGCTGGCTAAAAGCTTGCCAAATCTGTAGAAGAAAAAGGACATACAGATACATGAGGCCAAATGCAACTGAAATAAAACAAATTCAAGGGAAGTCCACACAAAGACATATTATAATTATATGTCAAAAGTCAAAAAGAGTGAATTTTGAAGAAGCAAGACAATGCTGAAAGAGAGAAATTCTCAACCAAGAATGCAATTTCTGGAAAAAAATTTTCTTCAAAAATGAAGAATAGATAAAGACTTTCTCAAGCAAAAGCTGAGAGAAACAACTTCATCACCACTAGATTTGTCATAAAATAAATGACAGGTGAGCTCTTTAACTCAAACAAAATAATACTAAATAGCAAAACTAAGCATAACTAAGCATATTAAAATATAAAACTTACTGGAAAAGCTAATTATTTAAACAAATACAAAATTGTGCAACATTGTAATGGTGGTGCACCTTTTTCTAATATGAAAGTCAAAAGACAACAAAGTAGAAATTACTATAACTACAGAAGTATAATAGTAGATATACACACATAAAAGATGTAATTGTGACATCAATAACAAAGTGGGAGAAGTGCAGAATTTTTTATGTGATTAAAGTTGAGTTGTTATTAGCTTAGAATAAACTTTGCCTCCATATATATGATGTTTTACATAAGCCCCAAGGTAACCAAAAAAATAAAATACTACAGAAAATATACAAAAGAAAAAGGAAATAAATACATATCAATACAAAAATATCAATGAACACAAAAGAAAACAGCAAGAGAAAAAAGAAAGAAGAATTATAACACAGACAGAAAAAATAAAATGAAGTGCCATAGCAAGTCCTTACTTATTAATACAACTTTGTAAATACAGTTGTCCCACAGTATCCATGAAAGATGGGTTTCAAGATCGCCTGTGGATACCAAAATTTATGGATGCTAAAGTCCTTTATATTAAGTGATATAGTATTTGCATATAACCCATGCACACCATCCCCTATACTTTAAACCATCTCTAGATTACTTATCATATCTAATAGAATGTAAACAGTATATAAATACCTGTTACACCATCTAGTTTGCATTACTTTTATTATTCCATTTTTTATCAGTTATTTTTATGGGGGTGTGTGATTTTTTTTATGCATGGTTGGTTGACTCTGTGGATGTGGAACCTACATCCAGCTGACTGTAAATGGATTAAAAATTCCCCAGTCAAAAGACAAAGAACGTCCAAATGCATTAAAAAATAAAATCAAACTATAGGCTGTCAACAAGAGACTATAGATTCAAGGATGCCCAAAGGCTGAAAGTGAAGGGAGGGAAAAAAATATTCCATGCAAATCATAACGAAAAGACAGCAGGAGTGGCTAAATTTATACCAGGCCAAATAGACTTTAGGTTAAAAACTGTCACATGAAATAAAAAAGGTCATTATATAATGATAAAAAGGTCAATTATCAGGATGTTAGAACAACTATAAATGTATAGGCACCCAAGATCAGAGTACCTAACTATATATAAGGCAAACATTGACAGATTTGAAGGGAGAAATAGACAGCAATAAAATAACAATGAGACACAACATTACGCCACTTTCAATAATGGGAATGAATCTCTAGCAGAAAACCAGTAGGGAAATAGCAATCTTAAACATCCTATAAAACAAAAGGACCTCATAGACATGTACAGAACTATCCAGTGACAGCAGAATACACATTCTTCTCAAGTGACTATATAACATTTTTCAGGATAGGTCATCTGTTAGGCCACATAACAAGCACAAGTAAATTTAAGAATATAGAAATTATGTAAGTAGGAAAAGTATCTTTTCTATCTATAATGATATAAAACTAAAATCAATAACAAGCAAAACTAGAAAATTCACAAATATGTGGAAATCAATACACTCTTGAAAAACCATTATGTCAAAAAGATATCGAGGGAAATTAGAATGTATCTACCTATAAAAAAAGACCAAAAACGCAAAATAACAAAACTTATGGATGCAGCTAAAGTGGTATTGAGGCAGTATAGCAATAAACATCTACTCTAAACATAAGAAAAATGTCCAAAAACAAACCCACCTTACTTTAAACTTCAAGGAAGTAAAAAGGAACAAATTAAGCCCAAATTTACCAAAGGAATTAAATAACAGAGATTAGAACAGAAATTAAATAAATCAAATACAGAATAGGAAAACAATAGAAATAATCGATGAAATATAAAATAATGTTGGCAAATCTTAGCTAGACTAACCAAGAAAAAATAGAGAAGACCCAAATAAAATCAGAAATGAAAGAAGAAACAATACAACTCATGCCATAAAAATACAAATGATCATAAGGGATTACTATAAACAATTATTTGACAATAAATTGGAAGGCCAAGAAGAAATGATAAATTTCTGGAAATGTTCACCCTACTATGACTGAATCATGAAGAAACCGAAAATTTAAACAGACCAATAGTGAATAAGAAGATTGCATCACCAATAAAAAACTGATTAAAAACCTCTCAGCAAAGAAGCTCAGGAAGAGATGGCTTTGTTAATAAATGCCACCAAACATTTTTTAAAAATTACCAGTTCTTTATATACTCTTCCAAATTATTGAAGAAAAACCACATTTCCAAACTCATTAAATGAGGCTAGTATTTCTGTGATATCAAAGCCAAAGACTTTATAAGATAAGAAAATTACAGGTCAATATTCTTGATGAATAAAGATGCAAAAATTCTCAACAAACTTAAATACTCACAAACAGAATTCAACAGCACATTAAAAGTATCACACCTCATGATCAAGAGAGATTTATCCTTGAGATGCAGGGATGATTCAACATATGCAAATCAATAAATGTAGTACACCACATTAACAAAAATACTAAAAACATATAATCTCCATAGATTCAGAAAAAGCATTTGGGGCCGGGTGCAGTGGTTCACGCCTGTAATCTCAGCACTTTGGGAGGCCAAAGTGGGCAGATCACGATGTCAAGAGATCGAGACCATCCTGGCCAACATGGTGAAACGCCATGTCTAATAAAAATACAAAAATTGGCTGGGTGTGGTGGTGTGCACCTGTAACCCCAGCTACTCAGGAGGCTAAGGCAAGAGAATTGCTTGAACCTGGGAGGTGGAGGATGCAGTGAGCGGAGATTGCACCACTGCACTCCAGCCTCGTGACAGAGTGAGACTCCATCTCAAAAATAAATAAATAAGAAAAAGAAAAAGCATTTGGAAGTGGCTGGAGCAAAATGGTGGAATAGAAGGCTCCATCAATTGTCCTCCCACAGGAACACCAAATGTACCAACTGTCTACACAAACACAGCACCTTCATAAGAACCAAAAATAATATGAGCACTCACAATACCTGGTTTTATCTCCGTATCATTGAAAGAGGCACTAAAGAGAGTCAGAAAGAGAGCCGTGAATTGTTGATGCCAACTCTCCCTCATCCCCACTACAGCAGCCACATGGCACAGAGAAATGTGTGTTTGGGAGAGGGAAAGTGCAGCAATCGTGAGACTTTGCATTGAACTCAGTGCTGCCCTATCACAGTGGAAAGCAAAACTGTGCTGAACTCAGCTGACACAGACCCACAGAGGGAGCCTTTAGACAAGGTCCAGCCAGAGGGCAATTTGCCCACTCCAGCAGATGGAGCTTGAGTTCTGGCAAGCCTTGCTGCCATGAGCTGGAGTACTCTAGGGTCCTAAATAAATTTGACAGGCAGTCTAGGCCACAAGGACAGCAAGTCCTGGTGCTGAGCTGGGCTTGGAGCCAATGGACTTGGGAACACATGACTTACTGAAACAACAGCTGGGGCAGCTAAGAGAGTCCTTGCCCACACCTCCCCTAACCCCAGCAGCACAGCTCGTGGCTCCAAAAGAGATCCTTTACTTCTGCTTGAATAAAAGAAAGCGAAGAGTAAAGATGATGTTTGTCTTGCATCTTAGATCCCAGCTCATTACAGTAAGAAAGAATATTGGTCCGTCATGAGGCACCATTCCAGGCCCTAGCTCCGAGATGACATTTCTAGACACACCCTGGGCTAGAAGGGAACCTGCTGCCTTGAAGGAAAGAACCAGTCCTGGCAAGACCCATCACCTATTGACTAAAGAGCCCTTGGGTCCTGAATAATGAGAAGCAACACCCAAATAGTATGCAATATGCCTTGGGTGAGACTCGAGACATACTAGCTTCAGGTGAGACCTAGCACATTCCCAGCTGTGGTGACTACAGTGACAGACTCCTTCTGCTTGAGAGAAGCAAAGAGAAAGGTCAAGGGGACTTTGTCTTGTACCTTAAGTACCAGCACAGTCAAATGGGCATAGTGCATCAAGGGGGCTCTTGAGGTTCCCTATTCTAGCCCATGGCTCTTTTATGGCATTTCTGGAGCTTCTCTGGGCCAGAGGGGAGCCCATGTCCATGAAAGGTGATTCCCAGGCATAGCAGCATTCACCACAAGCTGACTGAAGAGCCTGTGGGCCTTAAGTACACACAGGTGGGAGTGTGGCAGTTACTCACCATAGGCCTGTGATGGTGGTGGCCACAGGGTCATTCTCCTCTGCCTGTGGAAAGAAGAGGGAAGAGTGGGAAGGGCTGTGTCTTGTGGCTTGAGGGCCAGCTCAGTTGCAGTATAATAGAATACCAGGTAGACGTCTAAGGTTTTTGACTCCAGTCCCTGGGTACCAGACAACACCTCTAGACCTACCTGGGGCCTGGAGGACTCGCTGCATGGAAGGGAAGGACACAAACCTGGCCTCAGGTGATGTATCTAATGTAAACTACATAATCTATAAGAAATATGTAAATAATATTTTCCTATGATATATAACCTCAGTTCCTAACACAGATGTCCAGAGGCAAATCTTTCAAATTCACAAGCAAAAATTAGATAGAAGCAAGTTACATGTGAACAAATGGAATCAGATGCAATGAGAGAAAACAGCTAGCACATTATATACATAGCTGAAAGCTGGACAGAATAAAAACTTGAATTTTAGATTCAATGTATTTAGAAGCACAATAGAATTCAAATGGTACATTTAAACATGTGAGAGTGTTTTTCTACTCTAAAACTGGAAAGGAGAGGGGAGGAGGATTTAATGAGATAATGAACATTATGTAACTGTCACAATAAACATTTAATACATGACAGTGGTTGTTGTTATGCTTACTATCTTAGAAGTCAAATGTTCTTTAAAGAAAGTGTCCAAAAGTAGATTTATGCCATAAATGATGCCAAGAATTAGGGCAAAGGGCAGGTCAAAGTTGAATAGGGGATATGATGTAGCAATTGTCAGCTTTGGTTAGTAACCTGGTTAATGTCCTCCTTTATTATAAATAGGGATCTAATTCAAAGGAAGGAACAGTATAATACATACACAATATACTTTTGCAACCATCTGAGCTGACAAAAAAAGCAGGGTCCCACAATAGCAGAGGCTTATGAGAAAAAGTCTGAACTGAATATATGAACACCTAAGTTTTAGGCCTCTTTCTTCTAACAGCCAACATAACTTTGGATCATTCTAACCTCTCTGGTCTCAGTTTCTGTGATACGAGGAAATTGAGCTTAATAAGACTAGAGGTCCTTTCTGACACTAACATTCTACACTGGTGTATTCCTCTCACATTTTTAAAGTTAAATTTATGGTTTATTTTTTAATATAAGATAATTCATCACCAGTATAGTAACAAGATGAGAAGGCATCTGAGCTAAGGAAATAGATGTTTTTCCATCTGCCTCTTGCTGTTTTTCTATCATAGAGCAAGATCTTCCTAGTAAAGGGTTGAAGGCAACTTTTCTGTGTCAAATTAGCTGTTGCTCAGCAAATAGAAGTTAAATGCCACTATACGGAGCAAACAAACACGTGCTAGCATGAAATCTGTGGCAGCATCCTCAGTACCCTACTTCAGTCAACAGAACTATCCAGGACAGATCTCCTAAAAACATAATTTATTGACAACATAATGAGGTTCTCTTTTTGTACTGACCTAATTCAATTTTAGATTATGTTTAAACTGATTTTTCTTAGAATTTTTCAAAATACAATACAAAATTTTCTAATAGGGAGAAATTATATGTATAAATATTTGAATATGT
The DNA here is from genome assembly GCF_000001405.40 of Homo sapiens. Lineage (NCBI taxonomy): Eukaryota > Metazoa > Chordata > Mammalia > Primates > Hominidae > Homo > Homo sapiens. The sequence continues at coordinate 271,409 of NT_187382.1, read as the reverse complement.
GTATTACAAAACATTACATCAAAGCAGAATTAATTTAAATGCAAATAGAGAAAGTCGTTTGGACCCTATGTTATGTGATGTCAATGAAACTTACACTCTGAAAAACAGAGATATGATATAGTGGAGGCTGTGGGATCACGTAGTAACATGTTGAGCCACATTCTCCCATAACCCTGATTTCATTGAACTAAGACAAAGATGGGAGGTGAGTTATTGAATTGAGAACTATATGGAACTTTTCACAAAAGTGCATTAAAAGATTGTCTTGGAGTCAAAAGAAATAAATATAACACTTTAAGAGAGAGAAAATGGTTATTGTAGTGGTCCCTATCGTTCATTTCCTTCATAGATTAGAAGAATGAGTGTCATAGAAGCCAATAACATTTCTGGGCCTGTGAGTGAATTTATCCTCCTGGGCTTCCCCTGCCTGCTGCAGGGAGACCAAGATCCTCCTCTTTGTGGTCTTCTCCCTCATCTACCTTCTGACCCTCATGGGTAACACATCCATCATCTGCGCTGTGTGGTCAAGCCAGAAACTCCACACACCTATGTACATCCTCTTGGCTAATTTCTCTTTCCTGGAGATCTGCTGCATTAGTTCTGATGTCCCAAAATGTTGGCCAATCTCATCTCCCATATCAAGAGCATCTCCTATGCTGGCTGCCTGCTCCAGTTCTTCTACTTCTCCATGTGTGCTGCAGAAGGCTACTTTCTGTCTGTGATGTCCTTTGATCGGTTCCTTACCATCTGTCGACCTTTGCATTATCCCACAGTCATGACTCACCACCTGTGTGTCCGATTAGTGGCCTTCTGCAGGGCAGGTGGTTTTCTATCCATACTGATGCCTGCAGTGCTTATGTCCCGAGTGCCTTTCTGTGGCCCTAACATCACTGACCATTTTTTCTGTAACCTGGGACCATTGCTGGCACTGTCCTGTGCCCCAGTTCCCAAAACTACTCTGACTTGTGCTACAGTAAGCTCTCTCATCATCTTCATCACCTTCCTCTACATTCTTGGGTCCCATATCTTAGTTTTGCGAGCTGTTCTGTGGGTCCCAGCTGGCTCAGGCAGGAACAAAGCTTTCTCTACATGTGCTTCCCATTTCTTGGTTGTTTCTTTCTTCTATGGCTCAGTCATGGTGATGTATGTGAGTCCAGGCTCCAGGAGCCGCCCTGGGACACAGAAATTTGTGACATTGTTTTACTGCACAGCAACCCCATTCTTTAATCCCCTGACCTACAGTCTCTGGAACAAAGATATGACAGATGCCCTTAAAAAAGTGCTGGGAGTGCCATCAAAAGAAATATATTGGAACACACTGAAATGATATACATTCTTCTACAATTATTCCATAAGAAATGCAAAATTTCTCTCATTTTAAAAAAAAACTATTTTCTGGTGATGTCTGAGCACTTGGCTTCTTACTCATAAAAGCGTGACTCATTACACACAAAGAGCCCTGATCCTATCTCAAAGCAAAAAGTATACAAAGTCCTAAGTTTCATCGTAGGTAAGATCTGTACAATTTTTATTCATCTATGTATCATTTTTCCATTTTGGAGATTTTTTAAGTCCTAAAACTATATGTAATTCAGTTGGTATGTACAAAGCTAAGACCCATGTTTCTAATTTGTATTTTGGCTTTATCCTAATGCAACTTTATGTATCTTAAATGTGTTTTAAATTTATCAACTGTTTTTTCCTTGCCAACTATAGGTTTTTCTATAATGAAAAACAGCATCTACTCACTGTACTCACAAAAATTAAATTGCTTTATCTATAATATCAAAGAACGAGAATCCGTCACTGAAACAAGAATGTTTTTTAATTTGTATTTTCCTTATTACTAAGTCTTGGTAAGGTGTTCATGGTGCGCAGCAAATAAAAACTAGAAATGGTATAGATTCTTAAGGGAAATTCCTGTTCCAGCTCTGAAGAGAATGCATAGAAGGGCATGCATACATTCAAATATGCCAAATAATTAAATATTTCTTACTCAAACCTGGGCTTCTATACTTTGAGCTTATAGTGAAGAAACATCTACTGTTACAGAAAATAAACATAGGATATCAGGGAATCAACTCTATCAACCAAAATATAAGCTACCTTAAAGCAGTCACCACCTGGATTAAGAAAATGTGGTGCATCTACACCATGGAATACTATGCAGCCATAAAAAATGTTTGAGTTCATGTCCTTTGTAGGGACATGGATGAAGCTGGAAACCATCATTCTCAGCAAACTATCTCAAGGACAAAAAAACAAACACCGCATGTTCTCACTCGTAGGTGGGAATTGAACAATGAGAACACTTGGACACAGGAAGGGGAACATCACACACCGGGGCCTGTTGTGGGGTGGGGAGAGGAGGGAGGGATAGCTTTAGGAGATATACCTAATGTAAATGACGAGTTAATGGGTGCAGCACACCAACATGGCACATGCATACATATGTAACAAACCTGCACATTGTGCACATGTACCCTAGAACTTAAAGTATAATAAAAAATACATATAAATAAAAAATAAATAAATAAAAAATTTAAAAAAGTCACCACTTAACATAAACTTCTTTACTTAACCTGATCACCTGCCAACACTCTGAAATTTTCATATTTTTAACTAAGGCACAAAAATTAGGGGGATAGGAAAGAGAGGTGTTTGTGATGTTGTCTCCAATATGTTGAAGAGAAAGTTAATGATTTGACTAAAAATATCCAGTCTACATTAGACTTCATATTCAAGTTTTTTCTGTGAACATATACCTCTTTTATTATTTGTTAAATTTTATTTCTAATGAACACATGATAATTATATATTTATGGGATACAATGTGATGTTTTGATAATCATTTACATTGTGAAATGATTAAATCAAGCTAATTAATAAATTCATCATCTCCTATACTTATTTTTTGTGGTTAAAACATTTGAAATCCACTCTTTTAGTAGTTTCTAAATATGTGGTGCATTATTATTTATTATAGTCACCATTCTATGAAACAGATCACTAAATCTTATTCCTTCCATCAAACTGAATTGTTGTATCCTTTGATCACCATCTCTCCTCCCCTCAGCCGCCTCTTCCCTCCAGCCTTAGTTAACCACCATTCTACTCTCTACTTTTAAGAGTTCAACTGAATGAAGTATCACCTCATATCTGTTAGAATGGCTATCACCAAAAAGATGAAAGATAAGTATTGCTGAGGGTGCAGAGAAAAGTAAACATTTGTGCACTGTTGGTGGAAATGTAAATTAATATAACCGTGGAAAACAGTATAGAAGTTCCACAAAACACTTAAAATAGAATTACCATATGATTAAGCAATTTCCCTTCTGGGCATATATCCAAAGAAATTGAAATCAATATGTCAAAGAGATATCTGTACTTCCAAATTCATTGCAGCATTATTCACAATAACCAAGACACGGAAGCAACCTAGGTATTTGTCATCAGATGAGTAGATACACAAAATGTGATATATACACACAGTGGAATACTATTTGGCCCTTAAAAAATAGAGAAATTCTTCCATTAGTGACGATGTGGATGAACCTGTAGAACATTATGCTAAGTGAAAAAAATCCAGACACACACAGACATCTTAAAACCCTCTTCCAAGTTATTTTGACTTTTGGAATATTTTCTTCAATAAAATATGTTAAGGGATAAAGCTTCATAGACCACTGTGGAGCTAAGGGAGAATTCAGAGCAACCTGCAATGCCAAAGCGTTAGTTCTTCTTGCCCTCTGCAGATTGTAGAGACTATACCCACCTGAGATAACTCTATTAGAGTATAATTCTGCCAGTGTTCTCACTTACATCCAATAAAAGCTGACTCTAGCTGATTATGTAAATGAAAAAGGACTTATTGATGGAGTAGCAGGAATCTCACAGAACCAATGAAAGCTAAAGAGCCAAAGTTGAGGCTCAAATTCAAAGATACATATGCAAACCACCATGCAGAACTGATGATGAAAAATCATGACTGCAGTCATGGCTGTGCTATAGGCCACCAAGATGCTACATGAGCACCACTGTCATTCTGTTCTAGGAACTTGTCTTTTCTGCAACAAGTGTGCTACCTTTTTTTTTTTTTTTTTTTTTTTAATTGAGACGGAGTCTTGCTCCGTCTCAGGCTGGAGTGTAGCGGTGCGATCTCGGCTCACTGCAAGCTCCGCCTCCCAGTTCACACCTTTCTCCTGCCTCAGCCTCCTGAGTAGCTGGGACTACGGGTGCCAGCCACCACGCCCGGCTAATTTTTTTGTATTTTTACTAGAGACGGGGTTTCGCCGTGTTAGCCAGGATGGTCTTGGTCTCTTGACTTCGTGATCCGCCCACCTTGGCCTCCCAAAGTGCTGGGATTACAGGCGCAAGCCACTGCGCCCAGCCTGTTCATTGTCATTTCTTATGCCAATATTTCAACATTGTTGCTCTTCCTACTTCTGCTTCTTGATTCAAAGCCTGGTATAGCTGTATCTGGTAAAGGCAAGAGTACATTCCTACAACTTTAAGTGCAAGGGAAGCTAGGAGAGCTAATATCTGGCAATATAAACAACAATTACATAAATAGAAGCTCCAAGCCTGATAATATTGGGATTACCTCAAACATAAAAAGGGATGGAGATACTGGACAGCAAACACACACACACACACACACACACACACACACAGAGAGCGAGAGAGAGAGAGAAATAACTCAAACAACCCATTCATTTTGACTATTCCATATCTCTGAGCTATGTTTCCTCTAGAGATTACACAGGGTGGAAATCAAATTATCCACCTATGCAACAGCAGTGAAAGGGGAGCAGGATGAGTAAGGGGTAAAACACTGTCTCGGGTAGTTGAGGACTTGTCTATCTCATGATGAATGCTGTTAGAAGATACTGTGCTGCTTATAAGTTACTACTGCATTATCTGGAGTTCTGAGAGAAAAAGTTAAACTAAAGGTAAATAAATTATCATCTGGAAAATCTCTGTAAGCTGCAGTGAGATTTAGTGTTGTGCACTTGCCTTTCATCCTTCTTAGAACTAGTGAAGAATGGATATAGAGGATTCTTCACTTACTCTTTCTCTTTAAGCCAAAAATTCTTAGACTTGGGGGAGGGGGCCAACGAACCATAATTAACTGAATAACTAAAATCCTCACTTGTATCTAAGCTCTCATTGTGCTTGAAAAAGATGTTCATATATAAAATTGAAATATTTTAAAGTATGTTTTTAGTCTAAATGTGTACATAAAAACATAAAAGTTTTACTAACTGGGGCTTGCTTAGCTACACTGAAATGAATTGTATTCCATTTTGTCTACTTTTTAATTATACAAATAAATCATATATTTTATAGTGAATAGTCGTTGTAAAGAAAAAAACTATAAAATAGTGAAAATTTTCACATCTCCACACCTCTACACACACACATGCCTCCTCAGCAACGTGTTTAGTTTGGTGGATGTATTTCTAAGTCCTCTTTCTGTACATATAGAAGCAAAATCTCTGGGTTTTGAGTGGGTATATAAATTGGATTATACCTAAGTATTGTTCTACAACTGATTGACCCTCCCAACCACTCTGTACTCTCACCTAAACAGCAATGTCTGAAAGGGAAATTTTAGCCAGCTCTGCAGGTACTTCTGTCAGTTTGGGACAAATCAGGACAAACAGACTGAAGATACAATTCTTCAGGAAAGACTTTCCCAGGAGATGGAGCATGGATGTGTAAGGTCACTAGTTCCAACATGTAGCACACTCAGTGGGTTCTTTCCCCTGCCAAAATCAGGATTTCAATTAGGAAAATACGTGAAATAAGAGCATGCTTGTTCTCTCCAGGCAAAGAAACTTCATTCTGAAAAATAAAGTCAATTTAGTATTTGTTTAACCTCAATATTATTTGAGGTCTGTATTTAGTCCTTAGACCTCTCTTTAACCTGTACTGTCCAATACAATAGCCACGACCCACATGTGGTTACTGAGCACCTGCAAAGTGACTAGTCCTAATTAAGATGTGCTCCAAGTATAAAATCAAATACCAGTTTTGAACACTTGGTGGGATGAAAGAATGTAAACATCTCATTAATAGTGTTTATACTAATTCCATGTTGAAATACTATTTTGGGTGAGTTGGGTTAAATAAAAATATTATTAAAAATTTCACGGCTGCTCTTCAGCAAGGTGGAGTGGGCGCGCCACATGCCCTTCTTCCCCAAGCTGCCGGTGGCCGACCAGGTGGCTTCGCTCTGAACGCGGGTTAGGTGGCATTGTCCCTGCACACTGCTGCCATTTTTCAATGGTGCATCTTCAGGCACATTTTTAAACCAAACTTCTTGCCTTTCTTGATAGCCACCATTTGGATTTGGATCTCTAAGTGTACTTGTTAGAGCATTTCCACACTCATTTTGATGATTGCCTTGCTTTCCTGCTCACCGTAAACTTGAAATAGGAAGGACAGAACTCCCTCACTTCCTATAGGTCTCCTCAAAATTTAGCTTAAATGAAGCCTTCCCAGACTATTCTATTTAAAAGAGCATCCCCACTCTCACTAGTATCTATTCCCATCATCTGCTTTGCCCTTCTTCAAAGAATGTATCACCACAGGAAATATTGTATCCTACATATTTATTTCTCTATTTCTTGATCCCTGTCTTCCCATACTGTAATATAAACTGCATGGGAATAGGTATCACTGCTATAGCTTCAGTGCTCAGATAATGCCTAATACATAATAGGAGCTCAATAAATGTTTGTCGAATAACCTTGTTAACTCAATAATTGAGCTATTACTATTGCAGAAGCCATTCAGGAGCAGTAAAAAGATCATATTTCCTGCCCTAAAGAAACTTATATTCTAACTGGTAGGAAAGTAAAAAATAGCACAAACAATGCTGTAATAGATACCCAAAAGGCAGACCAATTTTGAGTAAATATTTGGCAAAACTCAAAAGGCAATGAACTTAGAAAATAACATTATGATATACTGTAGTGGGCAAGGAAAGTTTCGTATGAGGCATCTAAACATGGGCAAGGTATGAATAGAACAATTTTAAGCTCAGGTTGTAAAACTAAGATTATACTCTGTGAATTAGAGAGAGTGAGTCAAATGGGAGTGATGAGACATATATTAAGGTAAAAATAAAGTTTAAGAAGAAATTCAGAACCTAAAAACATTTACAAGCTAAAGAATTTGGGTTTTTTTCCTGTGTTTAGGTAGAGAGAAAATAAGTGATGGAGGTTCAAGAACATAATTCTGGAATTTGACATGGGAGATAACAGAGACAGACCATTTATGAAGTGATTATGCCATCACAGATATGGAGTGCTAGGAACCTGCACAGAAAAGACGAGCGTAAAGATGACAAATGATCCCAGGGAAGATGCCTAATCTGTTTAATGACAGATTAGAAGTGGGAATGAGATGGTAAGGAATTCTACTGTCAAGATTTCAAGTTCATGCTATAAATCAACAGATCCATGAGAAAATAAGGATGGCTAGAGCTAACTTAAAAGGAGATTAACAAATTTAGGATTAGACATTTGAATTTGAAATAGATCGTCATGTAAAAATATCCAGCAGAATGCTGCAAATATTTAACTACGCTTTGGTAGTAAAGTCAGTGCTGGAGTTACCCCAGAATCAAGATTTAGCACAAGATTTCCTCATGGAGTGCAGTACTGCAAATTAATAAATTGCTACTCAAAAAAATAAATTAGAGGGTAGAACTTACCCGAGGAACACTTTTCCAGAGTTTAATGAAGAACTACACACACAAAAAAAGTGCTTAGTAGGCCTAGATTGTCAGTGATCTCACAGATTCTATGGCTCTTTGGTTTGCACTGGGCATCACCTGACCTTCTTGTGTCTACATATGCCAAAGTGTTAGCATTGGCAAAATGTGAGGTGTCAATCAAGTCAACATAATATTATTGAAGGCCCTTGTTAGCCCCAGAAGTTATACTTCAAATTATAAAGAATAAAAAGGCAGAGCTTAAAATTGTCCCTGAATTGTTGAGAGTTTTGGGGGTGTGTATGTGTGTGTGTGTTTTAATCTGGTAATTTGAAGGATCAGTGGAAAACTATTTGTATAGTTGCAATACATTCAACCATTGCTATGCTCTCAAAAAAATGAAACAACTTGCTTCAATGAAGGCAGAATCTGAGGATGTTGAAACATACCAAACAGTATGTACTGAAAACCAAGAGTAAGCAGAAGCTCAGTTTTAGAGAAATAGATGAAAATATTAAGTAGAATTGCAAAAATAAAAAAATCTATTTAAGGTACAAACATATCTGGACCATAATAGTAATAACTTCCTAAGACTGAAACCATGGGTCCAATTAATTCTTTCAAATTATCTTCCCAATATATAAAAGTAGAATAAAATGGAAAAAAGCATGATCTCATTGGTCTCATCATCTTTCATCCTTCTAAACATTAATGATGAATTATATTAAATTTGCCTCTTGGATCCTTTAGAAATTTCCTACTATAACACATACATAAATTTTTTTTGCTATCCCTCCCCCCCCAAACCCACAACAGGCCCGAGTGTGTGAAGTCCCCCTTCCTGTGTCCAAGTGTTCTCATTATTCAATTCCCACCTATGAGTGAGAACATGCGATGTTTGGTTTTTGTCCTTGCGATAGTTTGCTGAGAATGGTTTCCAGCTTCATCCATGTCCCTACAAAGGATATGAACTCATCATTTTTTATGGCTGCATACTATTCCATGGTGTATATGTGCCACATTTTCTTAATCCAGTCTATCGTTGTTGGACATTTGGGTTGGTTCCAAGTCTTTGCTATTGTGAATAGTGCTGCGATAAACATATGTGTGCATGTGTCTTTATAGCAGCATGATTTATAGTCCTTTGGGTATATACCCAGTAATGGGATGGCTGGGTCAAATGGTATTTCTAGTTCTAGATCCCTGAGGAATCGCCACACTGGTTCAATCGACAGTGTGGCGATTCCTCAGAAATTTCTTTAGTGCCTCTTTCATATCCTTGTTCCGGAAACTGTAGATCAGAGGATTAAAGAATGGAGTTGACAAAGTATAGAACAAGGTCACAAATTTCTTTATCCCATGATAGTCCCCAGAACCTGGGCTAACATACATCACCATAAGAGAACCATAGAAGAGAGACACTACAGCAAGGTGACAGCCACAAGTTGAGAAAGCCTTATGCCTTCCTAAGCCTGAAGGCACCTGTAGCACTGTGCTTAGAACACAGAAATAAGTCCCAAGGATATACAAGAAGGTAAGAAAGATGATGAGAGCGCTAATGATACCACAAGTCAGAGTAATTCCAGGTATTGGAGCACAAGACAGTGCCAGCAAAGGTGCCAGATCACAGAAAAAATGGTCGATAGTGTTTGGACCACAAAAGAGGACCTGAGATATTAGTGTCAAAGGGGTCAATAACCAGAGACAGCCACCCACCCAGCAGAAGATCACAAAAATGAGCACAAACGTGATGGGTCATTAAGGTGGGATAGTGCAAAGGTCTACAAATGGCAGGAAACCTATCAAAAGACATCACTGACAGAAATAAGCACTCTGCAGCACACATGGAGAAGAAGTAGAACCGGAGCAGGCAGCCAGCACAGGAGATGCTCTGTGTCTGGGAGATGAGATTGGCTGCCATTATGGGCACGTCAGAACTGACACAGCAGATCTCCAGGAAGGAGAAATTGGCCAGTAGGATGTACATAGGTGTGTGGAGTTTCTGGCTTGACCACACAGCACAGATGATGGATGTGTTACCTAGGAGGGTCAGAAGGTAGATGAGAGAGAAGACCACAAAAAGGAGGATCTGGATCTCCCAGCGGCAGGGGAAGCCCAAGAGGATGAACTCATTTACAAATCCAGTGGTATTAGTAGTCTCCAAGGTCCTCACTGGTTTGGCCTGTAGAGGTGACAGAGATAGTAAGAACCACAGAAATTCTGCCCTGTCTCCCTTCTATCTCTTCTGGTGAATAGATATATGTTTATTTTCTTCAATTTGGATTTGGGATACTGCTCTCTTCCCCTTGGAAGGATGAGCTGTTCTTTCCTTTTCACCTCCGTCCTAGTTTATTCAATAAATAGTCATTTTGCAAATTATTGCTCTAGAAGATAAAGAACAATGAATAAAATAAAAGAGTCCCTGATCTTATAGAGCTTATGTCAAATACCTTTTGTTCAAAACAACCTCAAGCAGTACGTTGATGGCTCCAAAAGTTCTACATAGAGCAGGCCTTGGAGCATACATGTACTGGAAGGGATCTGAGGAGATTTACCTTGGAACATCATTTGGATAGCGAAGATACTGTTTTTACTTAAATTGTATGCTTCTGATAACTTCAGGAGAAGCTGACACAAATTATGGGGTTGATGTGATCGTCCCTCCACCTATATCAAAATGCTGCCATTGACACAGTAGCAGTAGAATGTGACAAAAACAAAACTTTCTGTGGTTGTCTGAGACACACATAATATTCATTTGGAAATAATAACAAAAGGCTTTTGAGAAGAAAATGAACGTTGACAAAATATAGAATTTTCCATAACGATGGCGGGAAAATATTATTTGCATATAATAAAAATGTAGAAAGATTTGGATACAAAAAATTATACCCAGAGAAGAGTATAAAATAGTACAAGTGTACTTGCAAAAAGTTGTGAGACATAAGGTATAAATATACGGTAATCACATGGCAGAGGACTTGCTGCCAGCCAGTCTAACTAGTTCAAGCTTAATTTGCTAGTCAAGGAAAAACAAGATGTATTAAGTAGAAGAATGAAATAATTGAAGCTTTATGAAAACAGCATTTTTCAAGACCATTTGGTGCAGGTTAATAAAATTAGCAGAAAAATTTGGAAATTATTTCAATAGCCCAAGGAAAAAGTGTAAAAAGCTTGACCTGGGGCAATTACATACAAACAAATACCAGGGAAGGGACAGAGGTAATTAAATTCTGCCCAAGAGGCAGAGGACGAGAACAAGGAAAAAAAAAAAAAAAAAAAAGCAAGGTTTCACTTTCCATTTGCCACAGATAGTCCTCTGCATGGGGTATCTCACAGGCGAGATCCACTTTCAGCACAGTAATTGTGCATTGAGGACCTTTCTGTACCAAAAGATTAGCCTACTGAAGGGTCATGTTGGATATCTCTTAGATTCCCCAGTCCTTTTTTCTTTTGACTCTTTTGAATCAGAATGTTAAATTTCATGAAATAAATTAGCTACCACCTACAAAGATTTCTCTCCAAGTCACACACAATGAGTGAATATGTGCTACGCTGTATCTGTGTGAAAGAGAATAAACAAGAGAGTTAGTCCAAATTATTGCCCAAACCTGCACCAAATGGTCTTGCAAAATGCTGTTTCCATAAAGCTTTGAACATTTCATTCTTCTAGTACATCTTGTTTTTCATTGACTAGCAAATTAAGCCTGAACTAGTTAGACAGGCAGCAATGACTCCCATTTTCCTGTCTTCTAAGAATATAATCCTTTTGAAGATAATCTGCAAGGACAAAATTACTATTTGACAAAAAAATTCTTAATTCTGTGTCTAATAAGCCTAATAATAAAGCTGTTTGTGAAGGAAAATAGTCATGAAAATTTATGCTCCTTTTTATACCAACATCTGAAACAAAGTGGACTTCGAGATACAGAAAAGTTACTGCTCCACCTGCCCATAATTCCATATCCTAAATGTTGCCCAGGAGTCAAATAGCCTCTAAGTAAGGCACCTTTTGATTCTTTTCTTTACAAAGGCCCCTTTCAGGCTTTACTCAGATGTAGAACATGCCACAAATCTCCCCATTCCTCATTACTTATCCCTTCCAGAGTCTGAGGCTCTGTCTCTGGAGATCTCAATCCTGGGACCAGTGGGGGCAATTAACGTGCATTATGCAGGCTTGAGTATGTTTCATCTTCAGAGATAATCATATTGGAGACAAAAACTACATAATATGCATACACGCTCATGTGCAGTCACACACACACTTACACACACACAGATCAGGCTGTTAACATAGCAGTATTCCTTCCAGAGTTTCCTCTCCTAATCTTAATAAATTATCTTTGCGCTAACAAACTTTTTCTGCCATGAGGGGCACCATTACCTTCAAATTTTGTTAATCTCAGAAACTGAGAAGAAAAAAAAAATTCTGGGTCTAAACAGTTTAATAACAAATAAACAAAGGTACCACACTTGGCAGATAAAAAATGACTTTTTGTCTATGTGTCTGTGCAATTAAAACAGATTTAGATTCCCCATTGGGACAAAAGGAAAAACACACAAAAAAAGGAAGGAGGTTCTTTTGAAAAACATACTCCCTTGCTCCAAATTTGTAACAATTTTTTTTCTCTTTTTAAATTCACTACACAAACTCTGTGATGAGGTAAGAAAAGCGACGAGGGCTCTTCTTGCTTTTTTTCTTAAACCATTAAAGTAAAACCCGTAATTTTCTACAGAGTACAACACAAGTTCACACAAAAAAGACATTTTCTTTTGCAAATCAAAACAGGAAAGAAAGGAAAAGCTCAAACAAGGTGAAGGAAAAGCATTTCTACAGCTGAATCACGACTGAGTTGATCGAAGCCCATTGTTGCTGCACAACAGACTGTGCGTTTGGTCACAGCGGCAATTTTTTTTTCTCCTCACATTGTGAAATCACTTTACATTGTTTTCTAGTAGAAAAGGCAAAAAATTGTACAAAACCCCTAGTGTTAAATACGTTTGTACCAATAAAACACTCACACAGGTTTGTCTCCAAAATGTCAAGTTTCTTTTTCTTTGCTTTTTAAATTATTCACAAGACCCCAAATTTTTCATCCATGTTGCCCAATTGGCAGTTTGAAGATCTTGCCCACTAAATCCAGAAGGATCTTATGCCCAGAAATCCACAGAGCTACCCATCTTTATTTCTTATAAACTCTTTTTCTCCACATATAGATCAAACAAGGTAGATGTTAGTCAACTCAGAAGTTAAGATATCAATTGTGTGAAAAAGACAAATCCATTTCCTCTTTTTCAAGTGTAGATCACATTTCTGGGTCCCCTTTGGAGTTAGGTGTGGTCATGTGACCGAGTTCTAGTTCAGAGAAAACAATGAAAACTGCTGTGCAACACTTCAGGCCCTACCCATACAAGGGCCTTGATGATTTTTGATACCATTGAGCACAATGACATTGAAAGACATTTATGAAGATGATGAAGTCAAAGAGAAGTCCTGAATTCCAGAATCAGCACTTGAAGAACCTGCCAATCAGGAGCACCCATTCAGATTTTAAGTGAGCAATAAACTTCTTTTGGCCCAGCATGGTGGCTCATGCCTGTAATCTCAGCACTCTGGGAGGCCGAGGTGTGTGGATCATTTAAGGTCAGGAGTTCGAGACCAGCCTGGCCAACATAGCAAAACCCTGTCTCTACTAAAAAATACAAAAATTAGCTGGGTGTGGTGGCACACACCTGTAATCCCAGCTACTCGGGAGGCTGAGGCAGGAGACTTGCTCGAACCCAGGAGGCAGAGGTTGCAATGAGCCAAGATTGCGCCACTGCACTCCAACCTGGGTGACAGCGAGACTCCGTCTCAAAAAAATAAAGAAAGAAATAAACTTATTTCATGTTTGATCCACTTTAAAAAAATTGTTTGGAGAAGAAAGTGACCAATTGAAACCAACATTTTTACATTTTGAAGAATGTATTAAAAAAGCAATTTGTGAATGGCTGTATCAACATATAATTCAGTGGGCTTATTCCCTTCAAAGACTCAATTCTGAAATAACAGGAATAAATTACGGAAATAATTTCTGGAGACTGAACAATTACTAGGAAGGAATAGAAAGTGAGTGTTAGTGGATACATTTACCACAAGATCACCATTAGGTTGTATTTGAATTTGAATATGATTTCCTTTGAAATATATGATCTTGTGCCTATCTACATTCACGGCAAGCACAATCCTTCCTTTAGCTTGAGCCAAAACCTGTGGGGCAGAAATAAGAAAAACCTTTAGCAGTAGGAAGCAGTGTGGAGTTTTTTAGTTTTTTGAATGCAAAGGTTTACAGAGACCTGAGGACCTTGAATTAAGTGAACATAGTTACAGGGGGAAAAAATAGTAAGAACTATCCCTACCATCAGCATTCAATTAACAGTAGTGAGAAAATACAGCTGTAAACCCAGTTGCAGAAAGTTGAGGATAGGACAAATTCAGAAGCTCTTAAAATCCTGGTAAGTAGAATTAAATTTAATTTAAAGCCAGCCATGGAAATTAAAAGATATAATTAAAGTTTAATTAAAATGTAGAGCGTTTAAGACTTTATGTGAGTGGTATATCACTTTCTTAGATGCTATAAAATTAAATTAGAAATATTGATAGAAAACATGTTCTTGAAAATATTATTTTGCTGCCCTGTTTCAGGTATCTCTATGTCTATAAATTCAATCCCTGTCTTCCATGGGTTTGCTAATGCTGGTCTTTCTGCCCATATGCCCTCACTTTCTATCTCTGCAGTAAAATGTCACCATCCTTCTTAGGCAAATCACACACTAGCTCTTACAACTTCCATCTGAAAATTGCATGCCATTACATCTATTCAGAAATCGATAGGCAAATCAGGGTAGTCTTTTGGTCACACCTAATTTCCAAGTGTCAGGGAGGTACAATTCTATCATGCACTCAGGAGGAAAAACAAAATACTGGTGAACAGAGTAACAACTACAACATTTAAGCTTCCTTTGTTCTTCATGTAAGCATATGATTAAACCTTTATTAAAAGAATGTAAAACAACTATATGTTTAAATTAACTATAATACTTTAAGCTCTTTGATGCAAAGATCTTTTCTTGCCTTTTGTCTTTTTACCTTAGAAAGCCCACAGGACCATGGGTTCTTACTTTGTATCTAATAAATTTTTTAAAAATTTTCCTTCAGTCAAAAATTCACTGAGTGAAGATGAGTACTATATACAACCTCTTCCAGGATACCCCTTTCTGGATATTGGTCATGCATACACTGCATACACTCAACACCATTGCCAAAATTTTGACAACTTGCCCTCAGAAAGATTAGCTACTTTGTTAAATTTTGATTCTTCCCTTTTTTTAATTTAGTTTCTACCCTTGAATCACAGGATTTCACACATACATTGCTATACATATCAGAGTTCAGTACAAGATAGAAAAACAACTCCAAATATTTTAAGCAGAAAGAAATTTAACAGGGAATTAATGCTTGATTAACTCTTTTTCCTTGTTATTCATAGTCATCCTTAGAGAGGTAGCATAATTTTACCACATTAGGATAATCTGCACTTTTGGTGTCTTGTCTTTCAATATCTTAAATGTTTCAAAATGTTCTGTACTATACATTTGATGATATTTATCATACATGGTATCATTAATTGATTCAATCCTTGAGTCAATAAATATTTGTGAAATAACTACTATTCACCAGACACTTTTTTCACTCACTCTTGATATCACAGTAAGGAAATCTGCCTCCAAAAAGTAATTAATTTGTGACATAGCAAACCCCAGAAGGGAAAATTTGAGGTAACACAATGAGTTCACTTGTACACATGGTCAACTATGTGTCACTGAGATATCCAAGTAAAGACAACCAGTCAGCGATTGGACAGAAAAGTCTCAAGCTCAGGAGAGGGTAATAGATATATTAGATATTAGAAGCTGTTAGCACAGAAAGGGCATTTGGACCTGAAGTGGGTATATACTTCCTAAGAAATACTGCCTAAGAAATATGTATGAGAAAAGAGCAGAGAGTCTAACGTCAAGCCACCAGCAATGCCATAATAAGCACAAATAAATATATAGTGGATAGGTGGAGAAGCAAAATACCAAAAAAGAAACAGGAAAAGTAAATAAAGAGGGAAAAAAAAAACAGAAGAAAATAAGCAAAGAAAATGGGATTTTCTTTGAATTTTCATTTAGAGAGTTGTCAGTCTGGTCAAACACTGCTAAAAAGTCAAACAATTCACGAACTTACAAGTAACCATTTGATTTAGGTACATAGAAATCACTGGTGACTTTGGCAAAATTTCAGAGACATTGTGGAGAAGGAAACCAGATTGCTGTAGGCTGAGGAGTGAAGTGACAATGAGAGATACAGAGAACCGGTATAGACATGGGGCTTGGCTAAAGGAGAGGAGAGAGATGAAAACTGAAGGGGGATGTTAGATCAAGGAAGAATTATGTTTTTGTTTTTGTAAGGTAAGGTTGAGCAGGGAAAGGAGAGAAAGGTGGTAAGCAAAGGTACTCGCTCCCTGTAACTGTGGTAGAGGATGGAATACAGAATGTGAAGGGGGAGATTTCAATTTGAACAAAAGGGTAAGAATCTCTTTTATTGCTTATAGGAAGAAATGAAAAGAATGTGAGGACAGATTTTTTTACTTTAGTATGTTCCAATCATCAATAACAATCTTCCTGTGTCAAACTATTGGTTTGTCTTAAGTGATGTCCTAAGTGAAACACACAGTACACTAGCTTTGCCTTCAAAGCTTTCTTTTACTTAAGTAATCCAGCCACATAGAAAAAAATAAATATTGAATAGTATTTTTAGACAGTAAGATAGCTCTCCCACCCAAGACCCTCAGTTCTTCTAAAAGAAAACTGCTATTCCTAAGTCACATATAGATAATCAGTGCATTTACAAATATGTGTATAAACACATGGCTTTGGGCATTTAATTTTTAATTTACATAATGCATAATATTAACAGGTAATAGTTTTACATATTTACAAGGTACACGTGTTATTTTGATACAGGTATATAGTATGTAGTGACCAAATCAAGGTAATTGGGATATCTGTCACCTCAATCATTTATCATTACTTTGTAAGCACGTTTTTAAATAAATTATAGCGTACTAATCACACATTTCTGTACTTTATTTCACTTAGAACTACTTCTTGGACATATTGCTTCTTATCAAAATGTATACATCTATCTTAATTCTTAATGGCTGTGTAGTTTTTCATTCTCTAAATGTAACATGATTTATTGATTCAGTCACCTATTAATAGACGTATTTGTTTCCAAGATTCAGCTATGACAAATAATGCTGAAAGCTTATTAATTTATGTAGAAATTTGCAAAATACACAATATCTGAAAGAAATATTCTGAAAGTGAAAATGCTGAGTCATAAACTGTGCACTTTTTTTTTTTTTTTTTGAGACAGAGTCTCTCTCTGCCACCCAGGCTGGAATACAGTGGCATGATTTCAGCTCACTGCAACCTCCACCTCCCGGGTTCAAGCGATTCTCCTGCCTCAGCCTCCTGAATAGCTGGGACTACAGGCACCTGCCATCACACCCGGCTCATTTTTGCATTTTTAGTAGAGATGGGATTTCACCATGTTGGCCAGGCGGGCCTCAAACTCCTGACCTGAAGTGATCCACCCACCTCGGCCTCCCAAAGTGCAGGGATTATAGGCGTGAGCCACCACACCTGGCCTAAGTGTGCACACTTTAAATTTTGGTCAATATGGCCACATTTTCCTCCAAAGAGGTGTCAGTGCTTTCCTCATTACTGTTGCTTTTCTCTCTATCCTTGGCACCAAGGCCTAGCTTTTCACAAGTTCTTCAAAATGAGCTTCACAAATTATTTTAGCCACAATGTTTTATGGCTTCATTATGGTGATATGAATACTGTCCATATCAGTGACATTAATTACTGTCAGTTGAGAGAATACGGTACATATTCTTGAAGTAAGACTCTTTCATCAAAGGTGACCCAATGTCTACCCTTTAAATCTATATTGTACACACTTAATAATATAAGGTCAGTGACCACATGAAATAAAGATATGGAGTAGGAGAAGGCTGCAACAGCTACCCACAATGCATTATAGAACAAACCTAGCACTGCCACTATTTCAATATGGGCATAGATGGGATATATGATTCTTCAGAACTCACTAGATCTGTTACCAGGCTAACCAGTTATTCCCCATAAAACTCATGACTTCTTACAAATCATTTGCTGGAAAATTTTTATATCCTAATTTCCTGAGATGGGCTCTACATTGTGGCAGATGGCTTTTTGACCTCTTAACTGTACACTCAAATTTTATCTGGCTTGTAAAAGCTCTATGACATTTAGCACAGACTGTATCATACATTCTATATGCAATAGAAAAAAGGTTCCCAAGGATATAAGCTATAAACAAAGCGCTTGTAGTAGTGTAATATAAGGGAGTAATAGTTGTTGCTATCGTTATTTTTTAATTTTAATTGACATACTAATTATATATATTTATGGGATAAACTATGATGCTTCAAAACATGTATACATTGTGTAATGATCAAATGAAGGTAATTAGCATATCCATCACCTCAAACATTTATAATTTTTGCTGTGAGAACAGCAGAGAGATACATTCTGGTTGAACTTGCTACAGAATAGTAACAACTGATGTGCTTCTGCTAGTCTTTTTTTTTTTTTTTTTTTTTTGAGACAGAGTCTCACTCTGTTGCCTAGGCTGGAGTGCAGTGGCACGATCTCAGCTCACTGCAACCTCTGCCTCCTGGGTTCAAGCAATTCTCCTGCCTCAGCCTCCTGAGTAGCTGGGATTACAGGTGCCAGCCACCATGCCTGGTTAATTTATATTTTTGTAGAGACAGGGTTTCATCAAGTTGGACAGGCTGGTCTTGAACTCCTGACCTCATGATCCACCTGCCTTGGCCTCCCAAAGTGCTGGGATTACAGGCGTGAGCCACTATGCCTGGCCAACTTCTGCTAGTCTTTTTGCAGTTTGCCTGCTATTTAGTTATCTATGATCTCCTCTACTTGCATAACTTACCATGAACTAACTTAAGAGCATTCTATGTCAACTAACCTTAGTAACTTTCCCTTGTCTGATGCGTTAAATTTCCTTTCCAATCAATGTGATTGACTCAACATCACACGGTTCAGCAGTTACTAAAATGCACCAAAGAGTTACTACAAGACTGTAATTTAAACCCAGGCAGGCAATTTCAAAAAGCTGTACCTGGTAGCTTTTCTGCAAAGTGGTTGTAACCCAGATGTTCTATCTATGTGAAGGCAGCTCAACAATATTTCTATGAAAAAGGCATTAGCGAACAACCTGACACGTTATCTCAAGAGATACACTATCATTCTACTGCTATACTGGGTACACTTTTGCATTGTCAATAGCTCCCATGATTAAAAGAGAGAATTAATGACAGACATCTTGATTCATACTTTATTTCAATCATCTCACTTGATCCTTCAAACCCTATGGTATTATGTATTTTTTCATTGTAGAAATTAATGCTCAGAAATAAATAGCGCACTACAAAATGCCATAATTGAAACCCAAGCTTGCCAGCGTCTAAAGCCCATTCTTCTACCATGATACCATGGTGCTTTTTTCAAGCGATATGGCTTTTCCCTCTCCTCTAATGACTTTTTTATTCACCTCTCCACCTTGGCTTTATGGCGTGCGCGCACTCACACACATACACACACACACACACACACACACACACACACAGAGCTTAGGTTAGCTCATCATTATTTCTTTAGTACCTGTTATTTGATTTTTTGCCAACCAGGCACCAGACTTAATTTTTTATATTGCATATAGTTTGCTAAATAAGGGACATGTAGTAATAAAATAATATCCCAGAGGACATTTTCACATTTTACTTGCTGTTTCTCTTTCAAAATTTCCAACGTTAGAAGAGGCAAACAGCCATAGGCTCTGGATATAATAGCTTCAGCTGCAAATAAAAAAATTGTCTTTCTGGATGGAAGGTGTGAAAAGGACTATTATTGCATCAGTCTCTCAGCTACTCTCCCACAGAACATTGCGGTCCGTTCAAACGAATGAGGACAGTAGTGAATAAACCAGTCTTTTAAACTTGTGTAAGATTTTCCATACCTGGGTTTCAGATCATTTTAGAGGCAAGTATTAATTTATTCTTTTTTCTCCTAATTTTTCATATGGACAAATTTAGGCACAGAGGAGATAATGAACTTGGCAGAGAATCAGGAGCAAAACATTGATGGAAAATGATGCTGATTTAAATGTTTCCTGCTTGCATTTCTCATAATGAAAGCACAGCCATATTGTGACACTTGTTATTTTATGGTTCACTGAAGAGCCGCAATAACAAATTTTAAATACCTATCAAATGTCATAAAATGTCATTTAATATTGTTCTTGGTTTGTTAAAGGGAAAATGAAAACTGATAAAGTTCATGTATATTTTGTGCTAGTTCAATAAACTAAATACCATACTATAAGACTTTCAGCAAACATACAGTCAATTGTAATATGGTAATATTAAATAAGAGGGTACTACACTTTTTCAAGAGAAAGTGGTCTTATTAAAAAGGTTATTTTAATGATGCTCTAAACAATTTCTTTGGCTGCATCACAGCATAGGTTCAGTTCATAATAAAAGTTGCCTTTGAACAAAGTATTCTAAATTTTTACAAGACTCCAATTCTCCTGTGCAATTACGGAATTTGAAATGTAATTCTCCTGGAACCATAAAAGAATTAAGACCAGAGAACTGCTGTTAAGAATAAAGCAAGATAAAAAGGAATTGCTTCAAAGACCCTTTTTATTCTTCTATTTTTTAGTGCCACGTTATATTCCAAGTCACTATGTTGTTATGGAAAAGGACAATGAGAAAATCCACTCTAGACAATTGAACATTTCTAGAATGTTGACTCAGGGCTATTTTTCTCTTGATAATTATGTATTAATTCAATATGGACATCTGTATGTGAAATCCTCAAAGAATTTCCAGAAGAATGGATGATATATCAATGCACAACTGTTTGGCATTGGTTTATTGTGGACTCAGCACTGTGTTAGGCACAATGGCTCAGGCAAATTGTTTGGGAACATGGCCCCTGCTCTAGATCTGCATGGCATTTGTTTATCATTTGAACTGAGATGTGGTTATTACAACTTAACTTCTATCTCTATTTCACATTCCATTAATCATCAAGTACTATAGATTCTATCACCTTCATAATCTTTCAAATCTGCCCATTTTACTACATGTGCAATACCACTGTTAATGATGATCACAATAAGCTCCTAACCATCCTCTTTGTCTTCAATCCTATCCACTTTAATTCATTCTGAACAACAGTTTGGAAATAAAATTGTGAGTGTATCACCCCTCCATTTTAAACTGTTCCAGAGTATTTTCATTTAACTCCTGCCACAGTTTAAGCCCATCAGCATAACCAGGCAAGGTCCTCCGTAAGCTGACCCTTCTTAAACTTCTAGCTTAGAATTTTTACTCCTTCTGCAAATATTTCATCCAAATTAAATATCATGTAGTTTCCTAAGAGAGATTCTTCTCTCTTCTTCTCCCAAGTCCTTTTTTATTTCCTCCTTTTAGAGCGTACTTCCTCTCACCTTTCACCTGACTCATGTTACCAGTCTGTTGAGACTTAGTTCAGAAATCACATCTTTCATTTTTTCTTTCCCCACCCTCTCCTCTCCTATGAATTAAGTCTTGTTTCTATGTAAACAATTAGCTTAGATATTTATAACTGATGCTGTACTTATATGGTTCTGTTGTCTTCCATGAACATGTGTTAGATCTTTGAAGACAAATATATGTTATTCATCTTATGAAATTTGTCCTACACAGAATTTGGCACATGGTTATCCATTCAAATGTTTGTGGAATAAATATGAATAAACTCAAAATAAAGAGAACATATATTAATTTTGTCCTAATTTGCAAAATTCTCCATTTTATTTCCCTCACTGCAAACTATCCCCACTGACAGAATTGGTATCTGATTTCATAGTGTTGATTTCTAACATTTTTAAACAAAAAACTATGTTTCAATTATAAATCATGTATTTAGGTAAGAATCCTTGCTTCATCAACTATAAGAACATAAATTCTAAGACATTTTCTCTACTGAGATGTTAAAATGTAGGGAGAAATGTGTGTTTTATAATTAACGAAATAAAATTCCTTAAGGTCTTACCATATGCTTGGCCCCATGCTGTGTTTTATATTAATCAGTTCTCTTAATCTTCACCACAGTCCTATGAGGAGGGTATTTTTATTATTCTCATTCTAAAAGTTAATAAAATAAGTTCAAAAGAAAGGTAATTTTCCCAAAGTTACCCAGATTATAAGTGGCAATTGTAGGATTTATCTCTATCTTACTCTACTGTCTGAAACATTCTCGATATTCCTTTTTTGGGTTCAGTACTAAGAAAAAACTATAGAAAATAACATTACTGGTCCTCATTTTAGAATATTCTTTCCTTGGGTTCATCATACACACACGTGCACACATAAACACAAACATACACAGTAATTGTAAACGGTGTGGTAATTTCTTTAAATTTTGTTAAAATACCTCCCGAGAAAAATGGAGACAAGTAGGGGAGAGAATCTCAGAGCTTGAAGACTATCTTTCTGAAATAAAACAGGCAGGAAACAATAGAGATAAAAGAATAAAAAAGACTAAACAAAATCTCCAAGAAATATGGGATTATGTAAAGAGACAGAACCTACGACTGATTGGGGTACCTCAAAGAGATGGGGAGAATGGAATCGAGTTGGAAAACATACTTTAGGATATCATCCAGGAGAACTTCCCCAACCTAGCAAGACAGGCCAACATTTAAATTCAAGAAATTCAGAGAACTCCAGTAGGACACTCCATGAGAAGATCAATCCCAGGACACATAATGATCAGATTCTCCAAGGTTGAAATGAAAGAAAGAATGTTAAGGGCAGCCAGAGAGAAAGTCCAGGTCACCTACAAAGGGAAAGCCATAAGAGTAACAGTGGACCTCTCAGTGGAAACCCTCCAAGCCAGAAGAGATTGGGGGCCAATATTCAACATTCTTGAAGAAAATAATTTCCAGCCTAGAGCTTCATATCTGGTCAAACTAAGCTTCCTAAGCTAAAGAGAAATAAGATCCTTTACAAACAAGCAAATCCTGAGGGAATTTGTCACCCTCAGGCCTGCCTTGTAAGAGCTCCTGAAAGAAGCACTGAAAATTGAAAGAAAAAATTGTTACCAGCCACTACAAAAACACACTGAAATACACAGACCAGGGACACTATGAAGCAACCACATGCACAGTTCTGCAAAATGACCAGCTAGCATCATGATGACAGGATCAAATTCACACATAACAATACTAACTTTAAATGTAAATGGGCTTAATGCCTCAATTAAAAGACACAGAAAGGCAAGCTGGATAAAAGGCCAAGACCCATCACTATGCTGTCTTGAAAAGAGCCATCTGACGTGCAAATACACACATAGGCTCAAAATAAAGGGAAGGAGGAAAATTTACCAAGCAAATAGAAATCAAAGAAGGGGTTGCGATCCTAGTTTCTGACAAAACAGACTTTAAACCAAAAAGATCAGAAAAGACAAGGGCATTACATAATGGTGAAGGGTTCAATTAAGCAAAAAGAGCTAACTCTATTAATCTACATATGCACCCAACATAGGAGCACCCAGATTCATAAAGCAAAGAGTCACAAAGAGACTTAGACTCCCACACA
Organism: Homo sapiens; assembly: GCF_000001405.40. Classification (NCBI taxonomy): domain Eukaryota; kingdom Metazoa; phylum Chordata; class Mammalia; order Primates; family Hominidae; genus Homo; species Homo sapiens. Next base: position 247,880 of record NT_187382.1, on the reverse strand, counting down.
ATAATAGTGGAAGACTTTAATACCTCACTGACAATATTAGACAGATCATTGAGACAGAATACTAACAAAGATATTCAGGACCTGAACTCAGCTCTGGATCAAGCAGACCTGATAGATACCTACAGAGCTCTCCAGCTCAAAACAACAGAGTATACATTCTTTTCATCACCACGTGGCACCTTAAAATTGATCACGTAATCAGAAGTAAAACACTCCTCAGCAAATGCAAAAGAATTAAAATCATAACAAACAGTCTCTTAGACGGCAGCACAACCAAATTACAACTCAAGATTGAGAAATTCACTCAAAGCCACACCATCAAATGGAAATTGAACAACCTGCTCCTGAATGACTCCTAGAAAAATAACGAAATTAAGGCAGAAGTCAAGAAATTCTTTGAAACCAATGAGAACAAAGAGACAATGTACCAGAATCTCTGGGACACAACTACAGCAGTGTTAAGAGCGAAATTTATAGCACTAAATGCCCACATCAGAAAGTGGGAAAGATCTAAAATTGACACTCTAACATCACAATTAAAAGAGCTGGAAAGGCAAGAACAAACAAATTCAAAAGCTAACAGAAAAAAAGAACTAAGATCAGAGCAGAACTGAAGGAGATGCAGAAATAAAAACTCTCCAAAAAATCAATGAATCCAGGAGCTCGTGTTTTGAAAAAAATACACAATCAATAGACCACTAGCTAGACTAATAAAGAAGAAATGAGGGAAGAATCAAATAGACACACAAAAAAATGATTAACTCCACCGAAATACAAACTACCATCAGAGAATACTATAAACACCTCTATGCACATAAACTAGAAAATCTAGAAGAAATGAACAAATTCCTGGACACACACACCTTCCCAAGACTAATTCAGGAAGAAGTTGAATTCCAGAATCGACCAATAACAAGTTCTGAAATTGAGGCAGTAATTAATAGCCTACTGATCAAAAAAAGCCCAAGACCAGGTGGATTCTAGGACGCAAGGCTGGTTCAACATTTGCAAATCAATAAACACAATACATCACATAACCAAAACCAAAGACAAAAACCACATGATTATCTCAATAGATGCAGAAAAGGCCTTTGATAAAATTCAACATCCCTTTATGTTAAAAACTCTCAAACTAGGTATTGGTGAAACACCGCAAAATAATAAGAGCTATTTATGACAAACCCATAGCCAATATATTGAATAGACAGAAATGGTACGACGGACATAATACTATTGCACCCCTACTAGACTACAGTGTAGTATAAACATAAACTTTAGATGCACTGGGAAACCAAACACTTCCGTCTGACTTGCTTTATTGCAGTGGCCTGGAACTGAATCCACGATATCTGAGGTATACCACTATTTGAACTGAATAAAATTGGTAGCTTTCACTTTGTTTTTACTTCTTCAGCAATCATAACAAATTTTGGTGTATTTAAAGTACAGCAAGGTAATTATTATCTTCAAAGAGCCCCTAAATTAGTAGAGAAGAGAATACCTATAAAAATGTAAAAACAATGCTGGTAAATAATGACAAATGGCATAATAAGGGAATAGATCCAATGGTTAAGAATTGCACAAAAATAAAAATCACTCTATTTAGAATTGGAAAAAGCACCAGGAATGGTATCTTATTTTAACAAAATTTGTAAAACTCAAAAGGCTGACATAAGTGATGGGCTCTGGGTATATGAACAGGCTGAGCAAGAGTGGAGTGTAGAAATTTCCCAGAGAATTGAGAAATACTTTTATGACTTGTATGTCAGAGAGTACACAGCAAACATAGCGCAATGTTAAGACTATAGATCTGGAGTGGTTTCTAGCCTCCACTCCTGGTTATTTCCTACTGATTAGCTGTGGGGCATTAATGAAGTCACTTAACATCCCTGAACTGGAGTTTTCTCATAGATGGAATGGGACTAGTGATACAACTGATTTACAACTATTGAGATAGAATTTTTTGTTAGTGGAAGAAAGAGATGGATAGATAAAAAGATGAGATAAGTCTGGGGAAAGAAATCAGGTCTTTTAGAGATGTACATTAGGGATTTAGAACTTCTTGCCATAGGGCATGTAAAATTTAACTTGGATTACATGAACTGGTTAATGCACATGATACAATTATTTAAATTAATTAAATTCAGAAAAATTATTAACTTTTGCTTACTAGATTACCTATGACAATGAACTTTCTGACATTGAAAACGCAAAGATAAGTAATAGCTACAATGTATTTTCAGGTCCCTATATAGTTGATATTTTATTAGATTCTACATGCTACTAGAACATTCAAATAGATACAGTTAAGATAGAGCAATGAGAATAAAACATTTCAAAATCTAATTTCCCTTAACATATTAATTTAACGTGATGTTAAAATATTTTATATAATCAATATCATATAACAAATTTTATAATAAAATATTCTTCGTTATGACAAAACTATTTTTCCTTGACTGGATTTACAAATGGTTGAGAGCAGTTATTTGCCTTTGACTCTTGTGGAGACCACAATCTGCTGGTTTACATTATTTATTTGTTTAGAGACTCATTTCCCTAATTAACTGAACAGAGGCAAACTTCACAGGTTCCAGAAATTAATGATATTTTATTGGCCTAGTAGTCCAGATAAAAAGGGAATTTCTGACAGGATGATTTAGATAATTGTCTCAATTTGCTTCATAGCTTTCTACTTATTGATACATCATTAGAGTTTACCTCGTGTATTCTCACAGGCACAGGTAATCAGTTGAATATATCTATAGGTGATTCAGCCTGTGTTAAGTGCCTCCTCAGTAAAGTATGTGCACATGATTGCATTGTTGAAGGTACATTACCAATAAAGATACCATGAAATTGCAAATCAATTCATAGATTTGTTAAAAACACTCAAACTTTTTCTTAAGAAAAATAGCTTTTTCTGTGTTTTAATTTTTTTCTCAATGATAATGTCAGCGTTAAAAAGATACACTCAGGTGCCTCGATGCTTCCTCTCTGTAAGTTGTATCTTGGTAAGTATTCAGAACAAAAAATAAGCATACAGATTTCTTAAACTTCGTTTTGGTAAAAGCTAACACACAAATACACACACACTAGCCTAGGCCTACACTGGGTCAGGATCATCAACATCAGTCTTCCATCTCCACATCTCCTCCCACTGGAAGGTCTTCCGAAGCAATACCACACATGGAGCTGTCATCTCCCATGGTAACAATGCCTTCTTCTGAAATAGCTCCTGAAGGACCTGCCTCAGGCTATTTTAGTTAACTTTTTTGTTTGTAAGTAGAAGGAATGCATTCTAAAATAATGTCAAAAATCATAGTATACTAAACACATAAACCAGTAACATAGTTGTTCATTATCAACTTTTATGTACTATGTATACTTAAATGTGCTATACTTTTTTTTTTTTTTGAGACAGAGTCTCGCTCTGTCGCCAAGTCTCGAGTGCAGTGGCGCGATCTCGGCTCACTGCAAGCTCCACCTTCCGGGTTCACCCCATTCTCCTGCCTCAGCCTCCCGAGTAGCTGGGACTACAGGGGCCTGCCACCACCCCTAGCTAATTTTTTCTATTTTTAGTAGAAACGGGGTTTCACCGTGTTAGCCAGGATGGTGTCGATCTCCTGACCTCGTGATCTGCCCGCCTTGGCCCCCCGAAGTGCTGGGATTACAGGTGTGAATCACCACGCCTGGCCTATATGCGCTATACTTTCATAGAACCAGGAGCTCAGTAGGTTTGTTTACGCCATCATCACTACAAACACGTGAGTATTGCGTTGTATTACAAGGTTAAGACGGCTATGCTGTCAGTAGACAATGAGGATTTTTCAGTTTCATTATAATTTTATAGAACTACCCTGATACATGCAGGCCATCACTGGTGAAACCTTGTTATGTAGTGCATGACTGTATTATATTGGAAGAAAGAGTGAGATAATATGCTGACACTCACACCGGGCTCATGCGCCAGTAGGAGGAGGTCGCCCTCCAGAGACTGCAGGAGAAGGGGGAGAACTCCTCCTTGCCCTGGCTGTTCCTCCACCACTTCCACCGAGGCCTGTGGTACAGCACCCGAAGCTTCCTACCCACCCTAGGCCTGGCCGGGCAGGCCCCGCAGCGCTCCTACTCCCTCTTCCCGGCCCCTGGACTTGCGGCTGCTGCCACAACTAGCGCAGATGTCACTATAACCATCGCTGCTGTTGCCCTCAATGCACTGGCCCACCCTACAAAGCTCCTACTACCTGGCCACCGCCGCAGCCCTGCCCCTGCCATGGCCACAGCTGGCCGTCCTCCTACCGCTCTGGTGCGAGGTAGTCTCGGTAGCTGCCACCAACCGCAGCAAGGCGAGCAGCAGCCCCAGGCTATCTGCAAGCTTCCAGCATGTAACTCCTCCTCCTCCTGGCATGGAACAGCTGGACACACACAGCCAAAAAAGCCTAGAGGAGAATGCAGAGACTGATAGCGTTAGAGCCTCACCTTGTCATCCTGGCCACTGGGTGGCAGGGGCCAGTCTCAGTGAAGGCACTCATATCCACCCTCCAAAGTCCAGCCTCTCCTTTTGGCTCAAGCGGGCCAGGAACTGGGACCTGGAGTGGTGACTGGTAACATCACACTGCCTGGCTCCAATCCACAGGAACCGCTGGGCCCACCAGGACTGCGCTCCTTGGGGAACAAAATCAGCAGGAACTCAGACACAGCCAGCCCTCCCACCCAAATGCCGGTTCCCCATCCCAATGCCTCCACCCACAGAGCCCTGTCTCCCCGTGGTGTCCCCGCCACTCCGTGTCCAGCGTGCCTAGGGGTGCCAGGTGGTCTCCGCAACACAGAGCGAAAAGGGCATGGCCCCGGGAACCCCGGCGGGTAAGGGGTCCTTGCCGTGCTCAGGATTACTGCGGAAACGCCGTGCGCTCGCTGCGCTCTAGCAGGAGCAGGAGGAGATCGCCTTTTAGAGTCTGAAATCCAGAAAGAGGAAGAAGGCTCCTTCCTTGGAGACCCTGTTGCTGCAAGCTCTGCCGCCACCAGCAAGGCAGCCCCTGATGGCGCCCCTAATCCGCTGCCTGATGTTGGCTCTGGGATAGCGCCCCCAACACCGCCCCTCGCCGCTGCAATGTAAAACCCAATAGCGCCCCCAACCCATCCCTGCCTCGGACGTCGCAGCACCAGATAACTCCCCCATCCTACCGTCTGCCGTCGGCCATGCAGCCACGGATAGGACCTCCAGCTAACCCCCGGCTGCGGGCAGTGATGCCCCGGAGAGCACGGCCACCTGCTCCATGCCGTCAATAGTGCAGCCATGGATCCTTAAGGTCCCCAACCCCCTCCCCACGACGAGCAGTGCAGCCCTACATAGCAGATAGCACCCCCAACTGTCCCCCACCCAGGGGGAATGATGCCCTGGATAGTGCACCCCACCCGCACCCCGCCATGGGCAGTGCAGCCTCCGACAGCACCCCTAACCTGTATACCGCTGCCAAAAATATGGTCCCCGATAGCACACCAAACCCAGCCCCCACCACAAACAGTGCAGCAGCTGATAGAGCACCTAACTCGCCCCACCGCCACTGACCACAGTGCAGCCCCCGAACGGTGCCCACAACCCACCCCACCACCCCGCCTGCCACCGGCCGGGTATCACCCCCAAACCGCCCCTTGCTGTGAGGAGTGTATCCCCTAGTAGCGCACCCAAACCTGCCCTCTATCATGGGCAGTCTGGCCCGATAGCGCCCGAAACCGCACCCTCCAAGCACCTACCCGCACCCACCGCTGCCCCGCCCCACCACCAGCAGTGTAGCATCTGATACTGCCTCTAACCTCTCCCCTGCCATGGACATTGCAACCCCACATAGCGCCCCCAACAAGCCCCCACCATGGGCAGTGCAGCCCCAGATAGCATCCCCACCCCGCTGTCGGCAATGAAGCCCGACCAGTAAGCACCCCCACCAGTCCGCACCCTAACCAGCCCTCCCACCACCATGCCGCCGGCAGTGCAACCACAATAGCAGCCCCAACCCGGCCCCTGTCGCGGGCAGTGCAGCACCCAATAGCACCCCCAACCAGCCCTACTGCTGCCATCAATACAGCCCAAGATAGTGACCCCAACCCGCCCCCCACCAACCCCCCCCCACCCGCTGCTGAGGGCAGTGCAGCCCCGGATAGCACACCTAAAAGCAGTGACGCCCAAAATAACACTCTAGTACACCCAAAGCAGTGACACCTGGAATAATACCCCAACCAGCCCCCGCCGCGGGCAGCCCTGGATAGCTTACCTACCCCATTGCCTTTCTACACTCTGGCCAGCTGCAGTATCCGTCGCTGCCACCAACCACAGCGAGGCCAGCCAGGGAGGCGAGCCAGCGAGGCCAGCCGCAGTCCTGCAGGCTCTAGCCTCCAGCCTATGGTAGGTGCTTTCTCCTTCTTTCCTTCCTGTAGCCAAGCACGGAGCAGCTGTCACTGCCAGCTGCCTCTCTCCATTGCCACCACACACCATTCAAGGCTCCAGGGCTCCAGGTTCCAGGCTCCAGCCTGCGGCAGCACAATCTGCTGCCGCTTTCTCCAAACTCTGCGGCAGAAGTACAGGTTAACACACGATAGCCTGCAACAGCGCGACGCCCCCTTAGCATACCTTATATACTGGGGGGTTGTGCAGGCCTGGTTCTCGGACTTCACGTTCTGATTGGATGAGAGAAACATCTACGCCTACTCTGATTGGACGTTATTTTCATGTTCTGATTGGATCAGAACAAGTCTTAGGCTAACCAATCAGAACGTGACAATAAAGTCCAATCAGAGTAGGCCTAGTGTTTTCCTCTCATCCAATCAGAACATGTAGTTTATAATCTCGGTATATAAAGCATGTTAAGAGATAGAGTTGCACTATTCCAGCCTCGTCGGCATCTGACTTCATAGCTGCTCCATTGCCAGCTTGGAGTAGGAGGTGCCAGCCACTGCATGCTGGAGGCTGCAGCCTACCGGGCTGTGGCTGGCCTCCCTGGCTCACCACCTCGCCGGCTTGCCTCGCCTTGCCTCGCTGGCTTGCCTTGCCCGCTGCGGTTGGTGGCAGCGATGGACACTGCAACCGGCCAGAGTGTAGAAAAGCGTCGGGGTAAGTGCGCTATCCAGGGCTGCACTGCCCTTGGCCTGGGACGGGTTGGGGGCCCTATCTCAGGCGTCACTGCCCACCTTGGGTGGCTGGTTAGGTGTGCTATCTGGGGCTGTGCTGCCTGCACCCAGGGGTGGTTTGGGGGCCCTAACCGGGGCTGCACTGCCCTCGGCGGGGAGCCTGTTGGGGAAACTATCCCAGACTGTATTGCTGGCAACAGTGAGGTGGGCTAAGTGTCCTATCCAGGGCTGCACTGCACGGCTGTTGCGGGGGGGTGGTGGTTTCAGGTTGAGGGTGCTATGGGGTGCTGCAATGCCCGTGGTTCGGGGAGGCGGGGCGGTTTGGGTGTGTTGGGTGCGCTATTGCGGGGGGGCTACACTGCTGGTGGCAGGGGGCAGGGTGGGTTGGGGGCCATATCAGGGGCTGCACTGATTGCTTTAGCTAGGGTTTCCAGTACTATGTTAAATAACAGTGGTGACAGTGGGCATCCTTATCATGTTCCAGATCTTAGAGGAAAAGCTTTCCATTTTTCCCCATTCCATATGATTCTAGCTGTGGGGGTCTCTCATGTGGTTTTTATTGTGTTGCAGTATGTTTCTTCTGTACCCGTTTTTTGAGGATTTGTAGTATGTTCCCCAAATTGAATATACCATTTTTTAAAAAGAGACTGAGTCTTGCTGTTATGTTGCCCAGGCTGGTCTCAAACTTCTGGACTTACGCGATCCTCTTCTGCCTCAGCCTTCAGATAGCTGCAGCTATAAGCATGCACCACCGCACCCAGCTTGAAGATACTGTATTTTTAATTCCATATTGTCAAGCGTTTAAGTTACTTTTCTTTAAAAAATTAATATTAATTCAAAGGAAGAAATTGGCAGAGTGAAAAGACAACCTACAGAATGGGAGAAAATATTTGCAAAGTATGTATCCAGCAGAGGATTAATATCCAGAATATACAAGGAACTCTTGACATCTCAATAGCAAAAAAAAAAAAAAAAAAGAATCCAACTGAAAAATGGGCAAATGACCTGAATAGATATTTCTTAAAAGATGACAGACACATGACCAACAAATATGTTTTCCTAAAAAGCTCAACATCACTAGTCATCAGGGAAATGCAAATCAAAACCACAATGAGGTGTCATCTCACCCCACTTAGAATGGCTACTATCAAAAAGACAAAAAATAGCAAATGCTGGCAAAGATGTGGAGAAAAGTGAACACTTAAATGGGGCTAGTGGAAATGTAAACTAGTACAGCCACCATGGAGAACAGTGTGGAGGTTCCTCAAAAAACTGCAAATAGAACTATTATATGGTCCAACAATATATTATTGGACATTTATCCAAAGAAAAGGAAATCAGTATATTGACGAGACATCGGCACCCCCGTGTTTATTGCAGCACTATTCACAATAGCCAAGATATGGAATCATCCTAAGTATCTAACAACAGATGAATGCATAAAGAAAATATGGTATACATACACAATGGAATACTATTTAGCCATAAGCAAGAATGAAATCCTGTAGTCTGAGGCACATGGATTGAACTGGAGGACATCATATTAAGTGAAGTAAGCCAGGGACAGAACATTAAGTACTGTGTGTTCTCATTCATTTGTGGAAGCTAAAAAAACGTTGATCTCATAGAGGTAAAAAGTAGAACAGAATACTACAGGCTGGGAAGCATAGGGTGCAGGGATGGTAGAAAGCAATTTGTTAAAGGTTTCAAAATTACAGCTAGATAGGAAGAGCAAGTTCTAGTGTTGTATAGCACTGTAAGATGACTGTAATTAACAACAATATGTTACACAGTTTCAAAGAGTTAGGAGGAGGATGTTGAATGTTCCCAGCACAAAGAAATGATAAATGAGATTATGGATATGCTAATTACCTCGATTTGATCTCTGCAAATCTATGGGAATGTTACTATGTTATTCATAAATACTAATAAATACATCAAAAATTTTAAAATTAATAATGAACAAAAGATAAGGGGCCCTGAACTCTAGCTTTAGGGCTGAATTGTATCCAGTCAGATGGTTTATATGTTATTTAAACTTTCACTTTAAATTTGGAGTGGAAATATGTTTGGAAATCCTTACTTTTAGTATGTTGATTTGTGTGTGTGCGTGAGGTAAATTTGGTTGGCTATTGGCAAATGTACTGGGTAGCTACTTAATGAAACATTTCCTTCCAGTGTTTCAGCTTTCTGATTCTTAGAACATGTGTATATTTAACAAAATATGCATTATCACTTTTGAAAGTAGTTATTCTAACACTTATTTGTGCTAAATTAGAATATGAATTTGGGAACTATTACTCTTTTCTATGGTCTGGAATAATTTAAGTAATAGAAATTATCTGATTAGATAGAAATTCATTGTAAAATCATCAAGTTTAGAAGCTCTTAAGATTTCCTTTGACTTTTGCTTATTAGTTTTAAAGAAAAAAATAAATTGACATAATGGAAATTTTCACTATACATCAGGAAGGGAATTCAGTGGAAAAGTAAGCTTCCTACTCCCTCTTGACCTTCAGTTTATACTTTTCTTCCTAAGTCAAGTACTGCTACTGGTTTCTTATGCTGTTTCTAGAACTAGCTTATCTATTGTCTACTTAAAATAACTCTTTAATCCTTTTATTTGAGCTGCCTTATGGATCTATGTAGTTTTTCTGTCTCTCTTTAAAATTTTTTATGCGGTAGAATACATATAACATAAAATTTACCATCTTAGCCATTTTTAAGTACACAGTTTAGTAGCACTATCTTTCACATTGTTGTGCAACCAATCTCCAAAACCTTTTCATCGTGCAAAACAAATTCTGTGTCTATTCAACTGCTCTCCATTCTTTCCTACCTGCAATTCCTGCAACCATCCTTCTACTTTCTGTCTCTCTGAATTTCACTATGTCACATAAGTGGAATCATACAGTATTTGTCTTTTTGACATGGGCTTATTTTACTTAGCATAATGTCCTCCAGTTCCATTCATGTTGCCTTGAAAGGCAGGATTTCATTCTTTATGGCTGAAATAGTGTTCATCTTGTTGTAGCATGTCAGGATTTCCTTCCTCTTGAAAGCTGAATGATATCGTATGTATATACCAACATTTTGTTGATCTAAATGTATCTGTCAATGGATTTTTCGGTTGTTTCCACCTTTTGACTATTATAAATAATGCTACTATGAACATGGGTGTGCCAGTAACTTCAAGGCCCTGCTTTCATTCTTCCGAATATACATCCAGAAGCGGAATTGCTGGATCATATGGTTATTCTATTTTTAATTTTTTGAAGAATTTCTATTATTTTTAAAGTCACTTTTCATGGTTTGTTCTTTCCTACAAAACATGTTTTTCAATTTTATCAGTGCAGAGTTGTATATAATATTTATATATTTTACTTGTACAATTAAAGGCTGTATTTTATTTCTATATTATCATATAATTACCTTCAGTATCTATGTTTGTAACTGTTTCCTCATTTCTTTTTTTCCTCGTTCACGTTTACTATTTTATTGGTCTTTAAAACCTAGGCTTTCTTTTTTTTTTTTTTTTTTTTTTGAGACAGAGTCTTACTCTGTCGCCCAGGCTGGAGTGCAGTGGCACGATCTCCGCTCACTGCAAGTTCCGCCTCCCAGGTTCACACCATTCTCCTGACTCAGCCTCTCCTGAGTAACTGGGACTACAGGTGCCCGCCACCACGGCCGGCTAATTGTTTTTTTATGTTTTTAGTAGAGACGGGGTTTCACCATGTTAGCCCAGGATGGTCTCGATCTCCCAACCTCGTGATCCGCCCACCTCGGCCTCCCAAAGTGCTAGGATTACAGGCATGAGCCACCATGCCCAGCCTACTTCTTTTTTTGTCATTTCTAATTGACTGGTAAGTACATTATATCATTACTGCAGCAGATTTATGTTACAGTGTTTTACCTGTTTATGTTAGAATCAGTTTATGTTTCTGGAATCTGGAATAGGATAATACCTATTTGATTTGAAATTGGACAGAGAGTAGCTTTATGTTGGTCCAGATAATCTCATTTCTCATTTGGACAAGATATTTGAGGGTTTGAAAAATTCCTGTGATGATTAAAGGAGAAAACTCTTGTGAGTTATTGTATGCTGAGACACACACACACACACACACACACACACACGCAGTTTATTGCATTGTTGGGTTTTATACATAAAATTACCCAAGTTGCAAATATATGTCTTACAACTTTGACTCTCAGGATAGTGCAGCAGGATGAAGCGCAACCGCCCCCGCCCCCCCTCCCCGATTTGCCAACAAGGGCAGACCAAACTAGAAGTGTGGCGCTGTACATGTTTCTGTGGAACCCTGACAGTGAAGCTGTTCTGGTTGCCATGTCCTGTTTCCGCCACCTCTGTGAGGAAGCAGATACCTGGTGTGGGGTGGATGAAGTGTCAGTGCATCACCTCTTGCCCAACTGTAGCACATTCATGGAGTTTGCCTCTGTCAGCAATGTGATGTCAACAGGTAAATGTGAATAGTGGTTTTTTTACTCAACCTGCCTGAAGCACGTGGCATCTAATTGTGAGAATGTATTTAAGGTTACTACTTTGTAAGTTTACAGGGGAGATTCAAGTAGCTTACTTGAAATCCTTTTCTGAACAAAGAAATGAAACAAAGATGAAAAGAAAAAGCATTTGAAATAGTCTCCCAGTGAGTTTTTAATATGCTATATGTTTTAAAAATAACTGGCAGTATATGTTACTATCAGTTGTGATCATATAATTTACCCCACCTAAGTTGTAGATAGTGAAGTTTTATGCACATTGGCATATGTTTTGAGTAAATTATAGGTGGGAATAGCTATTTTGTGCTGTGGACATTGTAGAGTTTAAGATAAGTACCTTTCCTGTGAGGTTAGTGAAAGGAAGTTTTTGGCTTTATCATTTGAGGCATTTGCTCTGCTCCTCCTACTCTGCCTTTTGGGTAGGGCTTATGAGGTTCTCCATGGGCAGGCAGGGCTCTAAGTGCAGTGACTTGATTGGCTGTTGTATTTGCTTAGGAACAGCAGCACTTCAGAAAGAGTGATGGCACTGCGGAGGCGCACTTAGCATCCCACTGCAGGAAACACTGAGGTGTGCTCTTAGCAAGAGAAACACCCCTCCTAGGCGCCCACCCTCAATTTTGGAAACCTATTGTTACATATGTGTAATCAGGAATAGCTTTTGAAGTAAATCCAAGATATGTGCGTGTTAGAAGTGTAATATCTGAGTACTTATTATACATCAAGTTTGAAACTTGGCCATTGCTGGTTGACGTTTAGCTCTAGACTTAAAGTTGCTTTCAAGTGATAATTGCCTTCATTTTAGGCTTGGGAAGATACACATGCAAAATGGGAACAAGCAACAAAACTAATCTTTAACTATCCAAAAGCCAAAATGGATGACAGCCAGGTAAGTCTGTAAAGTTGACTTTTGTCTATTAACTGATCTGCTAAATATATGTCCTTCTCTTTGGTAATCTCTCACGAGTCACTCAGTAAAGTAAGCATATAGTTGTCTGAAGACTGATATTTAGTTGTGGTTTATCTAGACCTGTACTTCGTAATATGGTAGCCACTAGCTACGTGTGACTATTTAAATTTTAACATAATGAAAATTAAATACAATTTAGTTCCTCAATCATATAGTAGCCACATTGCAAGTACCCAGTAGCCACATATGACAGTCTGGACAGCAGAGAGAGAAAATGTTTCCATCATCACAGAAATACTGGGCAGCACTGCTAGAGACTGTTGCAGAGACCATTTATCTTTTCTTGCTCTTTATCCCTTCATCAGGGTGTTTCACAGAATTTTCAGAAAAGGAGCAACAGAGGTAGAGAAAAAAAACATGGAAACAATTCATTTTGCTATTTTGTTAAGTATTCTAATTAAGGAATGTCTTGGGCAAAAGATTGAACCCATAGATTAAATGAGATTTTAAAATGTGGACAGTTCATTCAACTATTACTATTGACTATATTATCTGTTACTCTGGAAATTGATGAGTTGGTGTTTGTGTGTAATTGATTTGTAATGTTCATATTCCTCCCATTATTAGGCAATTTATATAAACTGGTTATTCCCCCATGTTTTTTTCTGTCATACTTAATTACAATAAGAAAAATGTTATGTTTTTATGAAGCAAAATTGTGTACCTAATAGCTTTATTTGGAGGGGACATGTAGCTTTAGAATGAAAGCTTTTGGGGGGATAACTGTTTAATATACCATACAATTCACCCATTTAAAGTGTCCAATTCAGTGGCTGTTTTTAGTATATTCCCAGAGTTGTGCAACCATTACCACAGTCCGTTTTAGAACAATTTCATCAATTGAGGAAAAAAACCCCTGTATCCTTTAGCTATTTCTGCCTCTAACACCCTACCCCACCTCCCCGCCACTTTCTTGTCTCTCTTCCCCCGGCTTCTCCAGCCCTAGGCAACCTTGAATCTACTTTCTGTCTCTGCAGATTTGTCTCTGCTGGATCTTTTCTGTAAATGGAATTTTAGAATATGTGGGCTTTTGTGATTAGCTTCTTTCACTTAGCATAACGTTTCCAAGGTTCATCCATGTGAAATCAAAGCTTTTTAAAAGAAATTTGATACTTGGGCGATTATATTAGTGTATGACAAAAATAAATCAGTGGCTCTTTAAAAATGTATATGGTAATTTTTGGGGTTGATTTTAATGTGTTTTTTACATTTTTTGTACTTTTGTCATGGAAGAAATGTTGGATAAAGAGTAATTTGTCAAGTCTCAACTAATTTAGGTTTAATTCATGCTTTGCCCAAAAATTTTGTGTTTAGGCTGCTGAAAGTTTCACATGACCATTGTTAGGAGTCGAATGTCCCATCTGAGTGGAGGAGGATGCGCAGATTTGTCTGACACAGACTCCCTACAGGAATGGATCAACATGACTGGCTTCCTTTGTGCCCTTGGGGGAGTGTGCCTCCAGCAGAGAAGTAATTCTGGCCTGGCAACCTATAGCCCACCCATGGGTCCAGTCAGTGAATGTCAGGGTTCCATGATTTCAGTGATGTCCTCAGAGGGAAACGCAGGTACACCTGTCAGCAAATGTATGGATCAGCTGTTGTCCTTAATGGTGTGTAACCATGAGAAAGTGGGACTTCAAATACAGGCCAATGTTAAGGAACTGGTGGGTCTAGAATTGAGTCCTGCTCTTTATCTGATGCTATTTAACAAACTGAAGAATGCCATCAGCAAGTTTTTTGACTCCCAAGGACAGGTAAAGTGTGCTCTTTTTTATTTTTCACCTTGTTTGAAATAAGGAAGGCTTTTTCTTTCCAATTATTTAAATTAGGTGCTCACAGTTTTTAAAAATTGCCAAAAAATTGCAGAAAGAAGAGTCATCTCAATGTAGGGGTCAGCTTGCTTCTTAGGAACTCTGGTGTGTATGTGTGCCTGAGGGTATACCTGCCTTGTGTATGGGTATGAGTGTCTGCATGTATCTGTATGCTTGTTTGGCTGTGTGCCTGTGGGTGCACTTCTGTGTTTGTGTGTTTAGATCAGTCGGTTGCATCTCTCTAGAGGTCTGTCTTCTGGGCATTGATGGCAAATGATTAATATATTTGTTCTTTCTATAGGTTTTATTGACGGATACCAACACTCAATTTGTAGAGCAAACCATAGCTATAATGAAGAACTTGCTAGATAATCATACTGAAGGCAGCTCTGAACATCTAGGGCAAGCTAGCATTGAACCAATGATGTTATATCTGGTCAGGTAAGCGTTCTACTGAAATGTAGCAGAAACATACTTTAAGAGATCAGAAAAACCTCTTACACATTGATATTGGTAGTAATTGATAAAATAATTTGCCATTCTTTACTGCACACAAACTAGGGTGTGACAGTCAGGTAACCAGAAGGTGTGTATGTTCTCATAAAAATAAATATTGTTTTCAGACTTACATGTAGTTCATTTTATTTGATGACTAAAGTACTTTGAATGCTTTCTCTTTTGTCTATATCTGATAATTTTTTTATCGTCTCTGTGTCTGTATAGGTATGTTCGTGTGCTTGGGAATATGGTCCATGCAATTCAAATAAAAACGAAACTGTGTCAGTTGGTTGAAGTAACGATGGCAAGGAGAGATGACCTCTTATTTTGCCAAGAGATGAAATTTAGGTGAGTTCTCAAAAGAGCAATGTAGGGTCTTGTAAATCTTAATTTGTTGAATGAAGTACAGAAATAGAGTAGATATCTGGTTATTGGTAGGAAGGAAGACATAAAAAGAGAGCAATTTACACGTTTGTGTTTCTCTACGTCTCTCCTCAAATTTCCGTAAGCTTTGTGCCTGTGGCAAGCCTCCATTTTTCTAAAACTGTGCTGTACTTGAGCTAAGAATTTGATTCTGTTTCCAATTTGATACCATAAATAAGGGCCATGTTGGAGGTTAAATATCCACGTTGCTTGTTCCCTTCTGGCTTTTACGTCTGTGACATCAGTATCTCTTTTATAAAGTCGTCATGTCACCTGGGTTATCTGCCAAATTATTTGCACTGTAAGAAATCTTACACAATTAAAGGTGTGTGTGTGTGTGTGGCTTCAAAAAAATTGTTGGCTGTTTCTCTTTTCTCCGCCATTCTTTAGGAATAAGATTGTAGAATACCTGACAGTCTGGGTTATGGGAACATCAAACCAAGCAGCAGATGATGATGTAAAATGTATTACAAGGTAAAAAAGAGAATGACCTTCAAGTATTAGTGGGTTTTCCTGTAAGAATTATAATTACTTCATTACAGCTTTATACTTGTATTTTATGTGTATTTAAATTTTTTAGATGTCAAACTTTTGTGGTTGAAATATGTAAAGATACTAATCTTTATTACTACTTTTTTTTGACTGATAGACTTTCTGTAAAAATAAATGTGCGAGAGCGGTATGTTTGGGAAGTTAGTGTTGTCAGTTTATGAAGAATAGTCTACCGTTATTGGGAAATAAGGTACATAAAGCCTCAGATTGCATTTATGTTATGATTAGATAGAAAAAGGTATTATTTGAGGAACTCATTGTGTTGGTCTTTCTAAAAAATAATTGATTTCCTGATTCAGGCACCAGAGACAGAAAAAAAAGGAAGTAATTAAGTGTAATTAAGTCTGCTTTAATGATAAATGCTTATTGACACATATCAGAAAGTGATTAAACACTATGGACTGTATAATAAGCCTTTACATATGTTTCTTTGACCAAGCCTAGCTTTATAATATGGTCGTCTCTCAGTATCTGTCAGGAATTGGTTCCAGGAACCACCCCCCAAACTCCTGCCCACATCTCACTTCCATGAACACTAAAATCCACAGACTGAAGTCCCTGATACAAAATGTCATAGTATTTGCATATAAACTATGCACATCCTCCCATATATTTTAAATTATCATTAGATTACTTATAATATCTAATAAATATAAATCTTATATAAACACAAGTTGTTATACCATATTGTTTAGGGAATAACGACAAAGAAAAATCTTTACATGTTGAGTACAGATGAAACCCTACTTTTTTTTCCCCCAAATAGTTTCAATCCATGGTTGGTTGAATCCGTGGATACAGAACTCGCTGAGACAGAGGGCCAATTGTACATGCTTCTGATTGAAGATAGTCATTTTGCCAAGATTACTTTGTAGAAAGTTACTATTGTCTTCTCCTCATTTGAGATGATTTTGTATTCTAGGATCTGCATATTAATTCAAATTATTTGGGTTGTGCTAATAATTTGTTTAATGAAACAGGTAGTTCCTAAAGTTTATATCTGTTAATAAGAGGTTTATTTGAGAGGAAGTGAAATAACCTGAAAGATTTATGGTCTCTAATTTTTTTTTTTTCAGAGATTTGGACCAGGCAAGCATGGAAGCAGTAGTTTCACTTCTAGCTGGTCTCCCTGTGCAGCCTGAGGAAGGAGATGGTGTGGAATTGATGGAAGCCAAAGGGGACACAGTTATTTCTTAAGTAAATTTCAGTCACCAAAAAACACAAAGCAAAAGCAAATAAAGCCCCCCGCCGCCACACACACACACACACACACACACACACACACACACACACACTCAAAGACAAAACAAAACAAAAACAAAAAAACAAAAAAGAAAACAAAGAAATGTTCCCCATGCAGGACTAGGATTAGGAAAATAACTGTGTTTTATGATTTTTAAAGAAAATAATATGATCCCTGAAATTTTGCTTATAATAAAACCCAGATTGCTTCACTAAGTCATTTACAAAAGTGACATTGTGTAAGCTGTTTGGACCACTAATTTTATATACTAAACATTAAAAATGACACATTTACCAGGAAACATTGCATCTATTTGATGCTTATGTTATGAAAGGTATGCTAGGCTATATCAGGTATAATCATGCCCAACACAGCATGCTTCATAATGAGTCACCCTGGCTGATTATCCTGAGAGAGGAGAGAAGCAGTTAATCCAGGGCCAGTCACACCGTGCACATGTGATAGTTTTGGAATGTCTGGTTAGCTTTCTAGTTGATACGGCCTTTGCTATGTAAAGGTCAGTCTTTTTATTTCTCAGATACTTCACACTATTTATGAACCTTTTGAGTGACTGCAGTGAAGCTGAAGATGAAAGTGCACAAACAGGTGGCAGGAAACGTGGCATGTCTCGGAGGTTGGCATCACGGAGGCACTGTGCAGTCCTTGCAATGTCAAACTTACTCAGTGCCAGCATAGACGGTGGTCTCATGCACTCCATAGGTGAGATCAAATGAAAGTTTCATATAGAAATACACAGCCTAGAGAACTGGCTTGTAAGATAAGCAAAAATTACTTCAGTAAGGCCATGTTAGTAAATTTGCATCCATTTGTCCACATCAGGTTTAGGGTACTACAAGGATCTCCAGACAGCTACATTTATGGAAGTTCTGATGAAAATCCCTCAACAAGGCACAGAATTTGACACACTTCAGAAACGGTATTGGCTGATGGGTTTGAGCAATTGGTGGAACTGGTCACAGTGATGGGTGATCAAGGAGAGCTCCCTATAGCGATGGCTCTGGCCAGTGTGGTTCCTTGTTCTCAGTGGGTAAGTGCATAGAGTAAGTGGGGAAGAAAAGTGCCTGGCACATAGCAAATCCTTCAGAACATATTTGTTCAATAAATGTTTGTTGAATGAATTGATAAAATTTTAGAGCCAGAAGAAATCTTAGATGTTTAGTTAGGTGACTTTTCAGCTGTAGGGAAGTGGTTGGCACTGCTAGACCTGAATAGTGTCCTATATCATTTCATCCCACTGAAAAATTCCATTTAAACACTGATTAAAAATCACTGATCTACTCCGCTGTCTTCATATATTTGAGAAGGTAATTAAGTTAAACCTAATTTCAGTCAGTTGTTGCAACGCTGGAATTGGAATCCACGATTTGTGCCTGTTTACTACCTCCAGTTTGCTGTTCTTTTCCCCATAATATCTTACACAACTTTTAAAAATGTAAGCACTGTATTTGCATTTGATATTATGATATTGTTTGTTTTAAACACTGAAAACATCATATGGCTATTAGGTCTCTCTCTTAATTTAATGAAAAATTTTCCTCAAATCACATCATTCCTAATACATGTGAAAACGTTGAGAAGGGTGGTGGTTCCTTTCCAGTGTTAAAAGGCTATTTCCTTTTTAGTGTACCAAAAATGGTTTCACTTATAGTAAAGTATAACTAATAAGGTAATCTGTCATTGTAGATTTGTTTCTGCTTAAAGCTGTAGGATATTTGTTACACCTGTACTTAAAGTAAAATTCAAACTCCTTATCCTGTCCTACAAGGCTCCACCTGATTTGGGCCCTGCCTCATCTCTAACATCATCTTATGCCATTTTCCTTCTTGTTCACCAAAGCCACACCAGCTACCTTTCTGTCCCTCCTTGTTAGACTTGTTTCTGCCTTAAGCACCCTTGCTGCTGCTACCACCTGAAATGCTTCTCCTCTGGTATTTTATTTTGGTGAGAACGCCTAGCATGAGATCTACCCTCTAACATATTTTTAAGTGTAGAATACAGTATTGCTATCTGTAGGCAGAATGCTGCACCACAGATCTCTAGAACTTACTTTGTATAACTGAAATTTTATACTGATTGGTTAGCAACAGCGCCAAATCATTGAAATCTTCCTAAAGCCTAAAATTACTTCACAAACGTTCAAATGTTTTGAAAATGACTATTGTGAATTATCTTATTAGGATCTACCTATGATTAGCACTGAAAATACTCAGTAATTTTTTAAATAAAGAATCAGTTAAATTCAAGTAGCTTTAATTTGTTGTTGAGTTTTATATTAAATGACTTTGAGAAGGAATTTTCTATTAGGCCAGATCTCACCTATCACATTATTGTAATCCTGGGACCAGGCAAGAATTAGAGAGCTATGGGCCATGATCCTGGCCGTTGTTGTTACTGCTTGAGGATTGAGGCATCTTTTTATGGCTACCCCTATTCTCTATAAATTTCTTCTTGTGATTAAACAGTGATTTACCAGTAGATCATTTTTCTTGAGTGTACCCCAAACTGCTTTACTACAGGGAGTTACAAGGATGTCATTTAGGTAATTGGAATTTCAGCCCTCATCCCTGTCCCCCTTGCTTTGTATGTAAATCTGGCTGATCTCTGGGTTCTGAACGCCCAGTTCCTTTTCTTCCTGATTTCTCAAAAATCCTATAGTCTTTCTGTTTTTGTCATGTCTCTACCTAGTCTATGTTCAGCATTCACTGAGTTCCCCTGACTGTATGAGAAGAGAGTAGAACTCTTCTGATCATCAGTCTTATTTCTGCTCTGTGCAAATGCTTGTACAAATCAAACTAAAGTATTTGCTGTCATCTTCTGTTTCTGTTCTCTTTCATTTTGTGATGTAATTTGAACTGAATCTTGGAGATTTTGTCTCCTGGTAAAGCCTAGGCCTCTCTTAATAGCTTTCACCGGTTAATCCTTGGAATTAACAGCTATCGTAGACATCGTATATAGTCATCTATCATAAACAATATACGCAGATAAATCTCAGGAGAAATATTAATCAGTCACCTTTGCCTTAATTTAGCAAGTAGTTGTCAACTTTGGGTTTATGTTTTTGCCACTCTTCAGCTATCTACCTGAGAACAAAAATGCACTAACCTGATTTTGTTTTGTTCTCAGGATGAACTGGCTTGAGTTCTGGTTACTCTATTTGGTTCTTGGCATTTACTCTACCAACTGCTCTGGAACATGTTTTGTAAAGAAGTAGAATTGGCAGACTGACTCCATTCAGACTCTCCTCTGAGGCAACAGTTTGGCCAGTAAAATAATGACACTCTGTTTCAAGGTTTGTATCATTCATTTTGTGTGTGTGTGTGCTGAGGTATGTCAAGTAATGATTATGTACAGAATGTGCAGAGCTGATTGTCTTCTTTTAAGGTAAAATGTATGGAGCAGGCATAATGAAGTCCTACTCATGCATTTCTATAGGTATATGGTGCTACCTATCTATAAAAACTCCTGGATGCTTTATTACGAATTGAGATCACATCCTCTGATGGGCAACATGTTAGCTTTGAAGTGGATCCTACCAGTTTTATCATCTTTTCACATAAAAGTGCTCTTTTTTTTTTTTTTGCTAACACTGCATGAAGCAAGGCCCTCATAACTTCTCCTCTTGATCATTAAAATTTGTTTTTAATTATAAAAGTTATATACAAATATGCTTTTCTTTAATGATATCTGTAATTTTTTTTAAGTTATCCTTCTTTTTATCTGCCTTAGATCCAGGGACAGACAGGAGAAGGATGTCTTTGACTTCTACCTCCACAGACCGTTACTAGTTAAGGCTCTTTCCTTTTTCCATGACTTTACATATCACTTTACACAGTCACTTGCATGCTCTGTCACCCAGACTGGAGTGCAGTGGCACGATGGCTCACCGCAACCTCCACCTCCTGGGTTCAAGCGATTCTCGTGCCTCAGCCTCCCAAGTAGCTGAGATTACAGGCGTGCACCACCACGTCCAGCTAATTTTTCTATTTTTAGTAGAGATGGAGTTTCACCATGTTTGCCAGGCTGGTCTGGAACTCCTAACCTCAATTGATCCACCAGCCTCAGTCTCCCAGAATGCTGGGATTACAGGTGTGAGCCACCATGCCCAACCAGAGAATTGTCTGTTTTGAGATTAAAATTTGGGAGTTTTAAGAGAACCACTCAGTAGCAGTGATGGTCTATGAATATTCTAAAATTATGTGAAGAAATTTGTGTGAAAGCATACATCCATTTTTCTAACCTTTATCAGATTTCAAAGAGGTTCCTCATCCCCAGAAGGTTGAACACTATACTGGAATAGTCGAAGCACTCAAATTTTTTCTTAATTCTTTATCTTTTTATAGTTTTAGCTAAAACTTCTATATCTAATTCTAAATTTATATATTTCAGCTAAAAATAAATGGTATTTAGGTTTTAAAGCCATTCTAATAAAGCAGCTATATTTAGCCACCTTCACCAGTTTCCCCTTATTGAAGGGTTAAGGTTGTTCTTCATGCAATAAACACTGTAACATAAAGAAAGCTTCCTGAACTGTGTGTAGTGTAACTGAAGGTGGGACTATATTGTTACACCTCACCGCTTACAAATACTTTATTCTCTAAGATCTAATTTTTACTAACTTCCTATTAGAGATTACAGAAAGCTATTTTGAGATTATAAGCAGTGATAAGAATGCATTTAAAATGTGGACTTCATGAAGCACTGCGTTGAACAGGATGAAGTGAAATAATCCCGATTCCAGAGTTAATCTGGAGTCAGCCATGTGAATTTAGGACAGGAAATATTAATTTATTGAGGCATTGTGCAAAAAATAGTTACGTGATATTCTGCATGTAAATCTGGGTCCCCCACACCAATATCCTTTGAAAGGAAGGTTTATCCTCGGAATCACAAAACATTGAGTGGAATGCTACAGTTTTGTAATCACTGCTACTTTAAACAGCAGTTAGCCACACTAAGCAAGAATAGCTGTAGAGATTAAAATGTTACATTAAGTGTTCTTTAAAAATGAATATATATGGTATATATAAAAATGTAAATTCCAAAATAATATAATTTTCATCTATAACATGATTTAAAGCAGGGGACACTGGGAAGGGATGGGGGCTGAACCCATTTTATGGCACTCTTCCCAGTCTAAGGTACCTTTTACTTTATCTTAATGTAGAATGTTTTATAAAGAGAAAATCAATCCACTTTAAATATTGGGTTCACATTACTTTTCAGGCTGGACAACCATTTCTTGAATTCTTAAATTATTTTTATTTGACAGAATTATACATTGAGGTAGACATAGGGGTTTGCTGTTCTGCTGAGATCCTTTTTTCTTTTAGGTGCCCAAGAATTCCCATCCCTCCATGGTTCAAATAATAGGTAGGTTGTTATAAAGGAAGCTGGCAACAGGCAATAACATTACTTGTAAGTAAGTTTTTTTTTCCTCAATAGGAATCTAAGATTTTGTTTTTTTATAGCAAGCATTTTTTTCTTCAATTCAGTTGTAACTGGTACACAACAAAACATAAATATGTACTATCAGGTATAGGATGTTTTGGGGGTGTGTTGTTGAAAATTTAGTTTCACCTTATAATGTTGACCACACTTTCATGTCTGTTAATCTTAATAAATTATGATCATCTTTGTGTGAAAATTTGGTCTGTTTTCATGACTCCTCAAACTTGCAGTATAGGTGATGATACAGTGAAGATCTGTTTTCAGGTTTCTTCTACCCATCTCATCCATGAGGTTTTTCTTTCCTCTGAGATACCTAAATTGTACTTTAATATGATACAAGACTAGAATTGAGAGGAAACTTTATTTTCTCATGTTTTGGGAGAAGAAAAAATAGAAATGTGTCATTCATGAGGACTGATTGACTCAGAGTTGTTGTGCAAATTTTGACCTTTGAACTCTTTGTTCCCATGCCCCTATTTTAATTCAAACCTTATACTCAAGTCTCAACTTGTTTTTAGGGGGTTAGCCAATGTTTCCCTCAGAACAGTATCAGTGCAGCAGGAAGTGCCATGTTCCTCAGATTTATGAATCCTGACATTGTCTCACTGTATGAAGCAGGGATTTTAGATAAAAAGCCACCACCTAGAATCGGAAGGGGCTTGAAGTTAATGTCAAAGGTGAATTATTTTGATAATCTAGCTATCTTAAATTCCCCTTCCAACTAAATTTTCAGCTTTTCTTACAGTACTTCCTCTTACATTTATATTGGAAATACCCTACGGTTTTCAGTTATGTGTTTTTATTTTGTTTATATTACAAAGGAATTCATTAGTTAGGTACCTGATGGACCTTATTTTCATGAGAATACGTTTTATTATAGCAGATGTCTTGTGTCATGAGGATCATTTTTTGCGTAATCATTCTAGACATTCTGAAACAGACTACAGTGAAGGCTGTAGGATTTTTTATTTTAAGACATTAAACATTTTTAATATGTATTTGTACATGTAAATATAATTATAATTAGGAAGAATAGAAACACTACCTAAAATATAGAATGAGAAATGATTGATTTTAACTACTAGCAGAAATTATATCAAGAAAATTCATATTTTTAAAGAATATATTAATGTATAAACTTCATACAATAAATAATCTGATTATTTATAACCCTGTTTTATTGTGTAAATACTTCAGAGTATTGCCAATCATGTTCTCTTCACAAAAGAAGAGCATATGCGGCCTTTCAATGATTTTGTGAAAAGCAGCTTTGATGCAGCTTGAAGGTAAGCTACTTGCCACTTATTCACTTGCTCTGTTTGAATCAAATATTTTCAGTTTCACATAAATCCATGTACCTGTTTTACATGAAGTTCCGTGTAGGTTTTTTTCTCTTCCTGCTCTAGGTCAAGACATAGCTTGCCTTATTTTATTTTACTATAAAAGACAGTCTTGAAATAAATTAATATTTTTTATAATTTGGTAGTGATTTTCATATTTGAAAACCAAGAGGCATTTTGGACATGTCTAGTTAAATAAAGGATTTGAGGATGGTACAATATGGGGATAAGGAAGAAATAGGATTCCTTTTATTTAAAACTAAAACCAAATTGGTATTGATAATGCATAAGAATGTTTAATAAGGTTTTTATTAGTATCAGAATATTTGTGATACTTAAATTTGGAAGTGTATCTAAACTAAAATGTTATTCTTTAAACCAAGTAATGCAAACACGTAAGATTTTGTTCATGAGTAACTGAACTTTATGATTTTAGAAAACTTTTCTGCTGGATTTCCATAACCAGTTATTTCACTTTATTTCTCTGAGTTATTGGTTTATCTGTAAAGTGGGGATAAACTCTTTGCCTGAGTTGTTTTTAGAGAGAAAAAATGAGATAATTCATAAGAAAGTGCTTTGTAAATTTATGTCTGGAATTCTGCTTTTCATGCAGTGTGAATCTAATTGATCCTTATCATCTAAGCTAGCCTTGTACAACTCTCTCTTCCAGTTTATCATCATTGTAATTGTTACTGACTTTTATTCTTTTAGGAAAATTGGAGTTTAAAAGGTATATTGCTGAATGACAAGCCATGTTGGAAAGAGAGTGAATGTCAGCACAGGATTCATATTCTGGCAGACTGAGGGCCCAAAGAAAGTTAAAAGGAACAAAGTTTTAATACTGGCTTTGACCTAACAGGCTATATATCTTTGGGGAGGTCTTTTGTCTGGACCTTCATTTCCTTATCTGTAAAATACCAGCCTCTTTCCAAAGTTTCATCCATCTCAATTTTGCTGTTCTTTAACTACAGAAGCTGAAGCCAGGTATCAGAAATGGAAAGCCAACTTTCTCCTTGTCCTTTTTACTTTGTCTAATGACAAATCACATTGTGGGAACAAGCCCTCCATATTTGTAATTGTCATCTCAGTTGCTTCACAAAGTTACTTCGTATAAATTTAATTCAAACATAAGTATGGTGTGTCTCTGGTGTTGAAAATTCTAGTGACTTTGCATTTTCTAATGTTTTTTCTTGATATGGCATCTGATTGTCCTACAAGTGATGCAGTAAATCATAGCCTCTCCTTCAGCAGTGACGGCAATGTGCTCGCTTTACATCATCTACTCCGGAACAATCAGGAGAAAATTGGCCAGTGTCTTTCTAGCAACAGGTAAGATTTCCCAGTCATGAGGATAGTGAACATTCTCCATTTTAATTTAGATCAATAAAATTATTGGTCATGAATAGTGCTTTTTAAAAACTTTGCATCTTCTTGGACTAAGAATTATGGTTTAGAAAGAGAAAGTCTTTTTTTTTTTTTTTTCAAAAAAATACAAACAAAAGGTTAAGTCATGTTAAATAATCAACAAACCTATGTAGGTTCCAGTGGTGGTTATTATTATTATTTTCTCAAGTTA
The DNA here is from genome assembly GCF_000001405.40 of Homo sapiens. Lineage (NCBI taxonomy): Eukaryota > Metazoa > Chordata > Mammalia > Primates > Hominidae > Homo > Homo sapiens. The sequence continues at coordinate 222,358 of NT_187382.1, read as the reverse complement.
AGAAATCACAGATTAGCTCTTTGGGTTTGTATGGCTTGCAAACTGTCATAGACCCAAAGAAGTTCAAATTAGTGTTGGCATTTGAATCTGAAGAACAGCTAATTCATAGGAATTCAGTAATTAAAATATTGTCAGTGTTTCAATTCTATGATAAACTCATTTGTGATACTCTAAGTATATGCAAATAAAGCTTTATATAGAAAATACTGGCCTGGCACTGTGGCTGATGCCTGTAATCTCAGCACTTTGGGTGGCCGAGGTGGGTGGATCACCTGAGGTCAGGAGTTCGAGATCAGCCTAGCCAACATGGTGAAACCCCATCTCTACTAAAAATTCAAAAATTAGCTGTGCATGGTGTCAGGCGCCTGTAATCCTGGCTACTTGGGAGGCTGAGGCAGGATAATTACTTGAACCTGGGAGGCGGAGGTTGCAGTGAGCCGAGGTTGTGCCATTGCACTCCAGCCTGGGCCATAAGAGCAAAACTCCATCTCAGGGGAAAAAAAAAAAAAAAGAAAAAATACTTAAAAATTGAAATTATTAATTTGGGCATTGTTTCATTAGCTCTTATTAGTCTCTTGTGTTAACATAAATTACTTGCTGTTCCATCTAGTTATATAAACTTGTAAAGGGACAAAATTCCTAAGTATGAGGAGTTCCTTACAAAGGAAAAATGAGTCCAAATTATTTTTAAATGCCAATAAAAGTGGTTAGCACATTCACAGGAAAAGTAGTGGACTATGAAGCTAAGGGTAAGCAATTGGGAGATGGGAGTTTAAACCACAGAGCATTTTAATCTTTTATGCATTATTAATGGATTGAAGTAGACATGGGCCTGAGGTCTTTTGGGTGCTGTTTACAAATCAACAGGGACCACCAGCTGACAGTTAAAGGAAAAGCAACAGTTACAAGTTAAAGAAATGTGTACTGCTAAATGTGAACTGCTACTTTTTTCTAAGTAGTTTGCTATATCTAGGGATCATAAAGCTGTTGGAAGATGACCTTTTGATAAATGGCAACACTTCTTGTATACCTCGGTCCTCCAGAGCACAAACCTGTGGCAGATACATACCGGTCCAGCCTTAACCTTACCAGTTAAAAGTTTGAGGAATTTATGATGAGGTAAAGTACAACCTTGAAATGTAGATTGCTTTCTTTTTGGTTGAGAAGCAGAGTTTACCACTAGGCCACTTGTTAGATATGATAGAAGACTATGAGGAAAGATGCATCTAATAATCACATTGCCATGTTTGGGGACCCAACTTTTCTCCTATTCTATATATTATTTATATATATATATATATATATATATATAAAGAATATGTTTTATATGTTGATTGCCATAATAGTAGTAACAAATCATATTTTATCATCTCGCTTTCATAAGTTTTCACATTTAATACCTACCAGGGAATGAAGAAAACATTATTTTCAGATGATAGTTAAGGAAAATGCAACTCAGTGTGAATAACTGGCTTGTGTGAGATCCCACACCTGATTCATAGGTCTTTTGGTTTTAAGTGCAGAACTTTTCTACTACACTATAACACTTTTCAGAACCCTCATAAAGATGAATGGCTTTAACTTCTTTTAGATTAAGGCTCAGAAAATATAGTCTACTTCAGTATTGCTATAAAATTTCTGTGGACATTTGTTTTGAATCCCATTTCATGGCATTTAGCTTGTGAACAAAAAGATCTTCATGGTTAGACACTGACTCTATGATGATACAGTGAGAGTAGTTTGCTGAATCTTTTAAAGTACATTTCACAGTACCTTATGCTTAGTAAGGTCTCCATAGTGTCTGTGAGTTGAATGTTGTGTTCACAGTATCTGCCAAAACAGAAAGAAAAAAACAAAATCTGATGATGAGAAGTTAAAGCTTTGTATATCATATGCCTTGAATTGTAAGTGCCTGTTGTTAGTTGTATTACATATAGGTCATGGTTTTGTACACATAACTCCAAACCATTGATACTGTTAAAAGAATATATGAATATATGAAAGAATGTATAAACATAAGAATGTATGGGTATATAATGTACTTTCCAAATTAATTTTTATTTTTAGCTTTGTTAGATTTTTCTTAGTGTAGCAAACGTTTATTCCTATGTAATTAAGGGCATATTTTCTGTACAGAATATTCATATTACCTAATTGAAAATTATATAATACAAAAATATAATACTATTTTTAGGCCAGGCATGGTGGGTCATACCTGTAATCCCAACATTTTGAGAGGCCAAGGTTGGAGAATCACTTGAGACCAGGAGTTCAAGACCAGCCTGGGCAACATGGTGAGACCTTGTCTTAAATAAATAAATAAATAGGTTGGGCACTGTGGCTCATGTCTGTAATCCCAGCATTTTGGGATGCCAAGGCAGGAGGATTGCTTGAGCCAGGAGTTTGAGACCAGCCTGGGCAACATAGCAAGACTCCATCTCTACAAATAATAAGATATTAACCAGGTGTGGTGGTGCGTACCTGTGGTCCCAGCTACCTGGGAGGCTGAGGTGGGAGGTTTGCTCAAGGCTGAAGTGAACTGTGAATGCACCACTGCATTCCAGCCTAGGCTACAGAATGAGACTTGTCTATAAATAAAGAAATAAGTAAAAATATAAATTAAAAGAAGTAAAAAAAATAAGTAAATAGAAATACATATAAAGATGAGTACATCAAAACAAACAATTTTTAAATTTAACATCACTGAGGGCATCCTGGCCATTTTTCTATTTTTCTAGGAAAATGTTTTTATTACTCCTTTTTTTCTAAGATCCTACCTTTCCTTACAAAGCAGTCTTTTGTGCTTTTGAAGATTATGTGTTCTAATATATATAGTATACTTAGCACAGTATCTGGTACTTGTAAAGTGTTTAATAAATGTTAGATCTTATTTTTGTTCTAAATTCCCACTGATGCTTTTGGAGACCCATTTTCTGTTTTAAAAAAATGAAGGTAGCTTTATAATAGCCTCAGTTTTTTTTTTTTTTTTTTGAGACAGAATCTCGCTCTGCTGCCCAGACTGGAGTGCAGTGGCATGATCTCGGCTCACTGCAAGCTCTGCCTCCTGGGTTCACGCCATTCTCCTGCCTCAGCCTCCCAAGTAGCTGGGACTACAGGCGCTCGCCAGCACGCCTGGCTAATTTTTTGTATTTTTTGTAGAGACAGGGTTTCACCGTTTTAGCCAGGATGGCCTCGATCTCCTGACCTCAGGTGATCCACCGGCCTCAGCCTCCCAAAGTGCTGGGATTACAGGCACGAGCCACCATGCCCAGCCAATATTCTGTTATTTAAAAAAAATTATTGAATTACTCAATATAGAAATCTAAAGAAAGTAAAAAAAAATTAAAAATTGTTTATCCTCCTGCTCAGAAATAATTCAGTTAACGTATGGTGTATAGTCTCCCAGTCATTTATCTATGCACATGTATATGTTTTTCTCCTATCAAATGATATCTAGGTTGTTTCCATTAATATTTTTAAAATGCTGACCTGGTACCAGCAGCATGATGGGCTGAGTTAATACAGTCTCCTTCCCAAATCACAATACTCATAGATACACTAAGTGTAAAAGAAAACATGTATACTTAAAAAAAATTAGGAAGAGTGCAGTAGCTTACGCCTATAATCCCAGCACTTTGGGAGGCTGAGGCAGGTGGATCACATGAGGTTTGGAGTTTGAGAGAAGCCTGGCCAACATGGCGAAACCCCATCTCTACTAAAAAAAAAATAAAAATAAAAATTAGCCAGGCATGTGACGGGTGCTTGTAATCCCAGCTACTTGGGAGGCTGAGGCAGGAGAATCATTTGAACCTGGGAGGCAGAGGTTGCAGTGAGCTGAGATCGTGCCACTGCACTCCAGCCTGGGCGACAAGAGCAAAACTCCATCTGTTAATTAATTAATTAATTAAGTTTATAGCTGAAGGTAGTTTCTAAGCAAATTACCTAGCATACAGTCATTACAGACAAAGAAATGGAAAATATGAAAGAGATTAAGAGATGCAGAAGATAGAATGAGAAGTTCCAAAATATGTCTAGTAGGTGTTCCCTAGAAATTGAGCTCAGTGAGAATGGGAAGAAGTAATATTTGAAAGGGTAAAGGATGAATGTTTTCTAGAGTTGATGAATGACATTAATCTTGAAGTTAAAGAAGCACACTGCGTCTTGAGCAGACTATATAAAAAGTAAACCAGGCTTTAATACATATGGGAACATAATATATGATAAAAGTGGTATTTGAAATCAAGATTAGGATGGACTTTCAATAAATGGTGTTGATAAAACTGAGTAATGATCTGAAAAAATATTTTCATACCATTTATGAGGATAGACTCCCATAAATCAGAAAGAAAAAAAAACATGGGCAAAGCAAGGCCTTTTTCATCCATTCAAAATCCATAAACTAGAAAGGAAAAGATTAATAAAATGAATTCGTTAAAAAATCATAAACTTCTGTCTGACACAAAGAAGTCATGAGTAAAAACAATCCTATGGTTAATATCCTCATCCAGTAGTTCTCTTAGAATAGTCCTAAAAGTGCTTTTGTGGTTCAAAGAGTAATATCTTGAGATTTTTTGTGCATGTTGTCAAATTACCCTTTAGAATGCCTGTTGCTTTTAAAATAATTTTTCATTTTAGCATTTTATTGTTTATCCAATTATGGACTGTTTTACATACTCAGTAGACAACACAAAGCCTCACAGTTACCCTGTTCTTTTTCTTTTAGGCATCAGGTATGTGAAAAAGAAGAGATCAAGGCTTTGAAAACATTAAGTATTTTTTACCAAGCTGGGAATTCCAAAGCTGGGAAGCCAATTTTTTATGTTGCAAGGAGGTACGAAATACTATGTTTTGGTGTCTCTTAACAGAATTTTTTAAATGATAGTAAATATAGAGAGATGGCAAGTTTGGTTTTTCCCGTTTGACTTAACAGGAATTGAAGACAAGTTTACCTGGGAGCATATAGTGGGGTAAATAGCCTGCCTTTCCTAAAATGATGGTCAATATCTAATAACTGCTTTTCAGACTACCCATTTCATATTGGTTTCCCTGTCCTACATCATTTTTTTAAGACTGCCTAAAATGGATTAATTACCAAGAGTTAAAAAACCACAAAGAATCTTTTGTTTTCAAGTATATTCTGATTAAGTACTACTCAACAACATGATAACCGGGAACTTTTTTCAATTTTATTTTATTTTATGATTTTATTTTTGAGATGAAGTCTCGCTCTTGTCCCCCAGCCTGGAGTGCAATGGCACGATCTTGGCTCACTGCAACCTCCACCTCCCGGGTTCCAGCAATTCTCCTGCCTCAGCCTCCTGAGCCCTCCCCTGCCAAATCCTTCCCAGCTTCTGGTAATCATCAGTTTATTCTCTGTCTTCATAAGATCCACTTTTTCAGCTCTCACATATGACTAAGAACATGTAATATTTTTCTTTCTGTGCCTGGATTATTTCACTTAACACAATGATCCCCAGTTATGCCTTGTAGCTGCAAATGACAGGATCCCATTCTTTTTTATGGCTGAATAGTATTCCATTGTGTATACATACCACATTTCTTTATGCATTCATCTGTTATGGGCACTTAGGTTGACTCCATATATTGGCTGTTGTGAATAGGGCTGAGATAAACATGGGAGTGCAGATATCTTTTTGATATATTGTTTTTTGTTTCTTTTGGATGTATACCCATCAGTGGGATTGTGGGCATATAGTAACTCTAGTTTTAGTTTTCTGAGGATCCTCCATGCTGATCCCCATCATGGCTCCTTTATGGAGAGTGTGTGAGGGTTCTCCTTTCTCAGTATGTTCACTGGCCTGCTGCCTTAGACATTAAATCAGGTGCTACTGCGGTATTCCGAGTTGTAATTAGTTTTTTATTTTGACATCTATAAATCTTCAGGCAGCCAGACAGCTTGATAAATTTAAGCCAAATACAGTTTTTCTAGGAGTGGTGAATTAATGGGAGAAGTGGCCAGATCATCCTTGTGTGTAGGTGTGAGCATGTCTGAGTGTGGCGAGGGAAGGTGGTTGGGTAGAGAGTGCTGTGAGGGAGTGAGGTGGGAATCCCCCTAGCTAGGATTGAGTCATTTTTTTCTTCTTCCATGCAAAATGCATATTCCCCATTGTGGATTTCTGAGTGTGTGAGTGATGAAGAAATAGGGCATGTGCCTTGACCCAGTTGCAGCTATTGCCTCCATGTGCCTGAGGTGCCTTCCTCATACTCTAGCATGTTACTGGGCAGACAGTCAGTATTAGCACATGCTGCTGGTCCTTGTGAGCACAGCACGAAGACGAGAAATGGCTGGCAGAAGTTTGGCTTGAGGACCAATAGATGTAATAAATGTAATACAGTTAGTTTTAGAACATAATTCCATAATTTGATTCGGGTCAAATAAATCATTTTAACCAAAATTTCTATTGTGGAAGAAAATCTTTCAAGAATTATGAAATTTGTGTCTCAGAATTGGCTCATTTAAGAAAAATAATACTGTTCAAATGTGCGAAGGCTGTCAAAGGGTTTGTTGTATAGCTTTGCATTGGCTGAGTTTTCAATGTTTAGACATTTGAGTATAAGAAAACTGCTACACTAAAAGTAATAGACATAAAAATAAAAAATAAACAGCTGTGTAATGTTATCAGGCTAGCTAGATGTTATGCATCTGTGATTCTGAGGCTTCTTTGCAGCATTTGGTTCATGGAGGTTCTGGTAAGACCAGCTTGTGAGCGTTGATGTTTCAGAGCAGGTTATTTTCTATGGTGTGAAAGATGCAGTCATTGCCAAGAGTCACAAAAAGTGAGGCTGGGAAGAGGATACACTGAATAAAGTTTTAAGGAAGTTTAAGAAAGCACACACCACATTGCCATTTGCTTTCTTAAAGTTTCAAGGAAAATTTCTAAAAAATACGTTCGTATGGTTTGTAAGGTTCACATGAGATAAGGAAGTAAATAGAGCACTTAGCATAGGAATTGGAAAAAAAATACTTATACTTTCAGACATAGAAGACATACAGTTAACAGATTTCAGAGTCAAGCACTGGTTAGATAAAGTCAAATGCTCTCTTTAGATGTGTACTGCAAGGCATTAGCCAGGTGCAGTGGCTCATGCCTGTAATCTCAGCACTTTGGGAGTCCAAGGTGGGTGGGTCACCTGAGGTCAGGAGTTTGAGACCAGCCTGGCAAACATGGTGAAACCCCGTCTGGACTAAAAATACAGAAAATTAGCTGGGCGTGGTGGCACACACCTGTACTCCCAGCTACTTGAAAGGTTGAGGCAGGAGAATTGCTTGAACCCAGGAAACGGGGATTGAAGTGAGCTGAGATCACGCCAGTGGACTCCAGCCTGGGTGACAGAGAAAGACGCCGTCTCAAAAAAAAAAAAAAAAAGAAAAAGAAAGACAATATTGGTGTTTTAGATTATAAGAATACAATTTTGATCATAATCATTTACTGTTCTTTGTCACGAAGAACTACTGATCTGTCTTTGTAAACCTGCAAACCTGATCATTGAGAAGTCTGCATCACTATTGATGACAACTTATGGTTCTTCATTAAGTGACCCAGTTCATTTGCTGGAAGATTGGCTGCCTGTTAGCGCAGAAAAAGATCCTTTTTCTAGTGAATATCATTGCAAAGTGAAACAGGAAGAGTGGAAAGGTACAGTCTGTAGGCTAGCATGCGATGCACCATGAAACTCATCATGAAAAGGACATGTGTGTCATTAATCATGGCCACATTGATCACGGCCCCACTCTCTAGGGAAGAAGCCAGTTTTTTCCCTTCCCTGAGAGATACCATAACTGAGCCGCCATCAGTATCTTCAGCCTTCCCTTGGAGGAGGATGAACTCGACCTCGATGGTAAGTGATTGATGGTTGACTTAAGGGAATTTGGCTGGCCAGGAATTTGGCTGGCCAGAGAGATGTCCTTCCTCCCTCACTGCTTCCTCATGGAAATGTTAATGAAGATTAAACAAATTAATATATGAAAGTAATACCTGGAACTTAGTAAATCTCAGTGAATTTTAGTCACTATTACTGCTCCTGTGGACCTCAAGTATCAAGCAATGTGACTACGATCAGTAGTGAACTAGCCTTTCTGTAGGCATATTCCTTTGTTTCTCTTGGCTAAATACCTGGTAGTAGAATGCCTAGTGCATATGGTAAGTGCATGCTCAACTTTTTAATACACTGCCAAGTTGTTTCCCAAAGCAGTTGAACCATTTTCCATTTTCAGCAGTAGTGTATGAGAGTTTCAGTGGCTCTATATCTTGACCAGCTTTGGTATGGTCCATCTTTAATTTTAGCCATTCTGATACATATGCAGTGCTATATCATTATATATATCCTTTTTTGAGACTGAGTCTTGCTCTGTCGCCCAGGCTGGAGTGCTGTGGCGCGATCTTCGTTCACTGCAAGCTCCACCTCCCAGGTTCAAGCGATTCTCCTGCCTCAGCCTCCCAAGTAGCTGGGAGTACAGGCACCTGCCACCATGCTCAGATAATTTTTTGTATTTTTAGTAGACACAGGGTTTCACCATGTTGGCCAGGCTGGTCTCGAACTCCTGAGCTCAGGTGATCCACCCGCCTTGGCCTCCCAAAGTGCTGGGATTATAGGCGTGAGCCACGGCACCCAATCTAGAGCATCTTTTCTTGTGCTTGCTTCTGTCTGTATGTCTTCTTTGGTGAAGCATCTGTTTAAACCATTGCCTATTTTTTATTAGGGTGATTTATCGTCTTACTATTGAACAGTAAGAGCTCTTGTATATTTTGGTTACAGATCTTTTGTTGGATGTATGTTTTGCAAGTGTTTTCTTCCAGGTGAGCACTGCCACTTCATTTCATTAACAATGATGTTGAAATAGGAAAATGTGTATTTTGGGGGAGTCAACTACTCTTCTCAAATCTGCCTGAATAGATTTATCCTTTAGGCCTCTTTTGTGGCAAGACAAATTCATAGCTGAGAAATTTATATGGGAGGAACAAAAAAGTAACTGTACCACTATCTAATATTGAGTACCAGTATTAGTGCAATTATTTAATAATGTAACTTCTTGTTAGTATAACATTAGTGAAAAATAATTATGAAATCTTTAGTATGTTTATCTTCTTCCATAAAATAAATTCATGGCCAGTGGGGTGTCTCACGCCTGTGGTCCCAGCACTTTCGGAGGCTGAGGTGGACAGATCACGAGGTCAGGAGTTCGAGACCAGCCTGGCCAACGTGGTGAAACCCCATCTCTACTAAAAATACAAAAGTTATCTGGGCTTGGTGGTGGGTGCCTGTAATCCCAGCTGCTCGGGAGGCTGAGGCAGAAGAATCGCTTGAGCTTGGGAGGCGGAGGTTGCAGTGAGCTGAGATCACGCCACTGCACTCCATCTTGGGCAACAGAGCAAGACTCTGTCTCAAAAAAATACATTAATTAATTTAAAAAATAAATTCATCAAATAACGACAATCACGAGAGTGACTACAAAAGATGGGCGTGTCCTCAGAGTCTGGCCTCAGTGAGTTTGGAGTGGTGCATACCAGGAGCAGCAGAGGTTCCAGGGAAAATTGTAGACAGAGGAAACAAACCACCATGAAGGAGAGTCAGTGGCAATAATCATTACCAATGAAGAACTGTAGAGTCGTATTTCAAGAATGAAGGTGAGAGCCGGGTGTGGTGGCTCATGCCTGTAATCCTAGCACTTTGAGAGGCCAAGGCAGGCAGATCACCTGAGGTCAGGAGTTTGAGACCAGCCTGGCCAACATGGTGAAACCCTGTGTCTACTAAAAATACAAAAATTAGCCGGGCGTGGTGGCAGGTGCCTCTAATCCCAGCTACTTGAGAGGCAGAGGCAGGAGAATCACTTGAGCCTGGGAGGCAGAGGTTGCAGTGAGCCGAGGTCACGCCACTGCAGTCCAGCCTGGCGACAGAGTGAGACTCTGTCTCAAAAATAAATAAATAAATAAATAAAATTGAGGTAGTCATTTACAGAAAAATATAATCTTTAAGACTTAAGAGCATTTAAGACCAACAAAGTTTCAATAAAGAAATGTTAATAGAGAAGGTTAGCAAGAAAGGAAAAGATTAAGGAGTGCAGTTATGAATAGTTAGAATCTAGTAGCTAGTAAGCAGATGACACATCTGAAACTCTAATCACGTATTTGCAACAATAAGAAAGCTGTATGTAAAACAACTTCTGTTTGTGGTTGGTGGAATTAAAGGAAACAAGACAGAATAAGCGAACAACTGAAAATAAATACAAAAATGAGGTGATCAGAGTGAAGGCATTCTACAGTGTTTGCATTATTTTGTGGAGGGAGTTAAAATTAGCTTAATTTTAGCCTTTGTTAAATTGTAATGCAAAATGCAGTGTAAAATTTCAAGGAAAACAACTAAAAGAATAGTAAAGATTCCAAACCAATAGAGGTTTAATTTCCAAACCAATCAAAGGAAAAAAGATGGAATTGGTGGGTGAGGGTAGAAGGATTTAAATTATTCAAAAGAGACTGGGCAGAGTGGTTCACACCTGTATTCCCAGCAATTTGGGAGGCCAAGGCAGGTGGATCACCTGGGGTCAGGAGTTCAAGACCAGCCTGGCCAACATGGTGAAACTCCTTCTATTCTAAAAATACAAAGAAAAAAATTAGCTGGGCGTGGTGGCTTACACCTGTTGTCCCAGCTACTCAGGAGGCAGAGGCACGAGAATCACTTGAATCCGGGAGGCAGAGGTTGCAGTAAGCCGAAATCATGCCGCTGCACTCCAGCCTGGGGAACAGAGTGAGACTCAGTCTCAATAAATAAATAAATAAATTCAAAAGAAAAGCAGGAAGAGAGAGGGAAAAAAACTAGATAAAATGGACAAGTAGAACACATAAAATAAAGTGAAAGGATAAGGATATAGAAGATTCGAATAGATTATTTCCCACTTTGATTTTAATGGACATATATAGTGATTAGAGAATATTATGCAGCCATTTAAATTGCATATGTAATAGTTACCACTTTACTTGGCATAAAGCCAGTTTTAATAAATTTCAAAGAATTAGTAACAAAAATAATTGAGAAAAACTTCCAGAAACTGGAAAAGGATAATGTGCTTTTGTTATAAAAGTTCATGTTATGTTGAAATGGATAAATGGAAAACAACAAAAACAAAAAGCATACCCAGAAACATGAAGGTCACATTTTATATCACCAGAATGATATAAACTGATTTGCTTCAAAGGAATGAGAGAGACTTTGATTTGATCAGGGTGGTGACATCAGAAGCAAAAAGAAGTGCAGAAATCAATAGTGAGTTCTCACAGAAAAGAACATTGGAAATAGAAATTTACAGTCAGCCAAACTATCACTGAAACCAACCTAAGACAGAATTTATTCAGAAGTATATACTACTGACTACCTGTAAACTCTGTGAGGGGAAAAAAAACCAAAAAAACAAAACTGGAGGATGCACTCCCTAAAGATGAGAAAATGAATTCAAAGAAATGCATTAAAAATACTAATCAGGCTGGGTGTGGTGGCTCACACCTGTAATCCCAGCACTTTGGGAGGCCGAGGTGGGTGGATCACCTGAGGTCAGGAGTTTGAGACCAGCGTGGCCAACATGGTGAAACTCCGTCTATACTAAAAATACAAAAATTAGCCAGGTGTGGTGGTGTGCACCTGCAATCCCAGCTACTCGGGAGACTGAGGCAGGACAATCACTTGAACCGAGGAGGCAGAGGTTATAGTGAGCTGAGATTGTGCCACTGCACTCAAGCCTGGGCCACAGAGTGAGACTGTCTTAAAAAAATAATAATAATAATCAATAGTCGGCAAAAACAAAGAAGTAAAAATAATAGTAAAATTTGATTAAATCTGAATTGGTGCAAATATTTAAATAAATCAGCTACATGAGACATCTCAAATGTTATCAACATAGGGAGTAATATAGGGTGGAGCAGGTGAAGTTTGCTATTGTATTTTATTTTCTAAGTATGGATAGAATTTAGGAATATTAATAGTGTTTTGTACAGTTAAGCTAACAGCTAGTCAGTTACATTTGGATTTTCTACCTACACAGTCACCTCTTATGGAGATAATGACAGTTGCTTTTTTGTTTTCATTGAATTATTTTGCTTTTATTGATTTTTAAATTTTCTCCTGTGTACTGGTAGGACTTGCAGTGAGCAGAGGGATGACTGAATAGAATGAGAAGCAGATTTGCCCTAAGCAGTTCCCAACTTGACTTTTCCCTTTAGCTTAGTGATTTTGGGGTCCAAAGATTTGTTTTCCTTTCACACAGCATTGTTTACATTAGCCAAGATTTAGAAGCAACATGTCAACAGATGAATGGATAAAGCAAATGTACATACACACCCCCAGGAGTACTTTTCACTTATAAAGAATAAGATCCTGTTATTTGCAACAACATGGATGGAACTGGAGATCATATGGTAAGACAAATAAGCCAGGCACATAAAGGCAAAATTTTTTCTTACAAGAACTTTGGCTATTCTGAGTCTTTCGTGGTTCTGTCTGCATTATAGGATTGTTTTTCCTGTTTCTGTGAAGAGTATCGATGTTTTGATAGGGTTGCATTAAGTCTGTAGATTGCATTGGTTAATATAGACACTAAAAATACTGATTCTTATTCATGAACATAAAATACATATTTTTGTCTTTTTAAATTTCTTGCATCAATGTTTTATAGTATTCATTGTAGAGATCTTTAACGTCTTTGGTTAATTCCTAGGTATTTAATTTTAATTTGAGGCTATCGTAAATGGGACCACTCTCTTGATTTCTTTTTCACATTGTTCACTGTTGGCATATAGAAATGCTGCTAACTTTTTAATCCTATATCTTGACTAAAATTGTGAGTTCTCATAGTGTTTTAGTGAATTAGGATTTTCCAAATATAAGACCACATCATCTGCAAACAAACATAATTTGACTTCTTCCTTTCCAATTTGCTTGCCCTTTATTTTTTCTCTTGCTAATTGCTCTAGCTGCCATGTGTTGAATAACAGTAGTGAAAGTGTGCATCTCTGTCATGTTGTCAATCTTAGAGGAAAAGCTTTTCATTTTTCCCCATTTAGTATCATACTATATGTGATATCTATATATCTATATATAACTTTTATATGCTGAGGTATGTTTCTTTTTTTATTATACTTTAAGTTTTAGGGTACATGTGCACAATGTGCAGGTTAGTTACATATGTATACATGTGGTATGCTGGTGTGCTGCACCCATTAACTCGTCATTTAGCATTAGGTATATCTCCTAAAGCTATCCCTCCCCCCTCCCCCCACCCCACAACAGTCCCCAGAGTGTGATGTTCCCCTTCCTGGGTCCATGTGTTCTCATTGTTCAACTCCCACCTATGAGTGAGAATATGTGGTGTTTGGTTTTTTGTTCTTGCGATAGTTTACTGAGAATGATGATTTCCAATTTCATCCATGTCCCTACAAAGGACATGAACTCATCATTTTTTATGGCTGCATAGTATTCCGTGGTGTATATGTGCCACATTTTCTTAATCCAGTCTATCATTGTTGGACATTTGGGTTGGTTCCAAGTCTTTGCTATTGTGAATAGTGCTGCAATAAACATACATGTGCATGTGTCTTTATAGCAGCATGATTTATAGTCCTTTGGGTATATACCCAGTAATGGGATGGCTGGGTCAAATGGTATTTCTAGTTCTAGATCCCTGAGGAATCGCCACACTGACTTCCACAATGGTTGAACTAGTTTACAGTCCCACCAACAGTGTAAAAGTGTTCCTATTTCTCCACATCCTCTCCAGCACCTGTTGTTTCCTGACTTTTTAATGATTGCCATTCTAACTGGTGTGAGATGGTATCTCATTGTGGTTTTGATTTGCATTTCTCTGATGGCCAGTGATGGTGAGCATTTTTCCATGTGTTTTTTGGCTGCATGTATGTTTCTTCTATAGTTTTGAGGGTTTCTTTCATGAGGAGATATTAAGTTTTGTCAAATGATTTTCAGGATCAATTAAAATGATCATGTGGTTTTTGTTCTTTCTTTTGTTGATATGGTATATTACATTAATTGATTTGCATATGTTGAAGTATCTTTGCATCCATGAGATAAATCCTACTTGATGATGAGGAATAATAAACTTTTAATCTGTTGCTGAATTTTACTTGCCAGTATTTTTATGAGAAATTTTGCATCTATTGCTGATATTGGCCTATAGATTTTTTTGATATGCATTTGTCTGATTTTAGTATGAGAGTAATGCTTGCCTTACAGAACGAGGTTGAAAGTATTTCCTCCTCCTCTGTTTTGAAATAGTTTAAGTGGGATTGCTATTAGTTTTATACATGTTTTGTCAAATTCAGTGAAACCATCAGATTTCAGGCTTTTCTTTGATGGGAGGCTTTGTATTATGGATCTCATCACGTCTTGTTTGTGTATTCAGGTTGTGGATTTCTTAATAATTCAATCTTCTTAGGTTCTATGTGTCTAGAAATTTATCCATTTGTTCTAGATTTTCCAATTTATGGCATCTATCTGCTCATAGTACTCACTAATGATCTTTTGAATTCCTGCAGTATAAGTTGTAGAGTTGAAATGTCTCCTTTTTCATCTTTGATATTATTTGAGTCTTTTCCTTTTATTCTTTTATTTATTTATTTGTTTTTGAGATGGAGACTTGCTCTGTTGCCCAGGCTGGAGTGCAGTGGCTCGATCTCAGCTTACTGCAACCTCCGCCTCCCGAGTTCAAGCAATTCTACCTGCCTCAGCCTCCTGAGTAGGTGAGATTACAGGCGCCCACCACCACGCCTGGCTAATTTTTGTGTTTTTTAATAGAGACGGGGTTTTGCCATGTTGGCCAGGCTGATCTTGAACTCCTGACCTCAGGTGATCCAGCCGCCCGCCTCAGCCTCCTAAAGTCCTGGGATTACAGGCATGAGCCACTGCCTGCTGAGTTTTTTTTTTTTTTTTTTCTTAGTCTGAGTAAAGGTCTGTCAGGTTTCTTTTTTTTTTTTTCCAAAAAACAACTTTGCATTTTATTGACCTTTTGTATTTTATTTCAAATTCATTTATTTCTGCTTTGATCTTTATTATTTCTTTTCTTCTAATTTTGGTTTGGTTTGCTCTTGTTTTTCTAGCTCTCTAAGATATGTCATTAGGTTTTTTTTTTTTAAGTGTCAATTGTTTTGGAAATACAGGTGGTTTTTCATGACATGGATAAGTTCTTTAGTGTGTTTTCTGAGATTTCAGTGCACTTGTCACCTGAGCAGTGCACACTGTCCTTAATATGTAGTTTTTTATCCCTCACCCGCCTCCCAGCCTTCCCCCTCAAGTCCCCAAAGTCTTTTACATTATTCTTATGCCTTTGCATCCTCATAGATTAGCTCCCACTTATATGTAAGAACATACGATATCTAGTTTTCCATTTCTGAGTTATTTCACTTAGAATAATGACCTTCGGCTCCATCCAAGTTGCTGCAAATGACATTATTTTGTTAAGTGTTCCCATTTCACCACATCCAATGCCAACATCTGTTGTTTTCTTGACTTTTTTTGGCCTACAAAAAATGGCCATTTTTGTAGGAGTTATTTGATATCTAACTGTGGTTTTCATTTGTATTTCCTTGATTATTGATGTTGAGCATTTTTAGGTTGTTATTAGCTGTTTGTATATCTTCTTTTGAAAAAATATATATTCATTTTCTTTGCCTACTTTTTGATGGAATTATTATTTTGCTAATTTCTTTGAGTTCCTTATAGATTCTGGATACTAGCTTTTTGTCAGATGTGTAGTTTGCAAATATATTCTGCTACTCTGTGGGTTGTCTGTGTACTCTGCTGCTTATTTCCTTTGCAGTGCAGAAGCTTTTTAGTTAAATTAGGTCCCATTTATTTATGTTTGTTTTTGTTGCATTTGCTTTTGGGGTCTTAGTCATGAATTCTTTGCCTAAATCAATGTCGAGAAGAGTTTTTTTTCTTATGTTATCATTTAGAATTCATATGCTTTCAGGCCTTAGATTGAAATATTTGATCCATCTTGAATTGATTTTTGTATAAGGTCAGAGATGGGGATCCAGTTTTATTCCTCTGCGTGTGGCTTGCCAGTATTTCCTAGCACCATTTATTGAATAGGGTGTTCTTTCCCCAATTTGTGTCTTTATATGCCTTGTTGATGATTAGTTTAGTTGCCTGTGTTTGGCTTAATTTCTGGATTCTGTATTTTGCTTCATTGGTCTGTGTGTAAATTTTAATACCAATACCATGTTGTTTTGATAACTATAGCCTTGTAGTATAATTTGAAGTAGGGTAATGTGATGACCCCATATTTTTTATTTATTTGTTTGGTTAGTATTACTTTGGCTATGTAGGCACTTTTTTGATCCATATTAATTTTAGGGTTTTTTTTCTAGTTCTGTGAAGAATACTGGTGGTATTTTCATGGAAATTGCATTAAATCTGTCATGAAGTTGTTCATTTGAATTTTTTTATGTAGACACTTTTAGTTATAAACTTTTAGTACTGCTTTTACTGTAAATCCTAAGTATTTCCATTGTGACATATTACAGAAATATTTCAATTTATTTATTAATATCCCCATTGACCCACTGGCCTTTCAGGAGCATATTGTTTAAATTCTATGTGTTTGTATAGTTTCAAAAATTTGTCTTGTTATTGATTTCTAGGTTTTTTTATTGTAGTCACAAAAGATGCTTGATATTATTTTAATTTTTAAAATGTGTTAAGACTTGTTTTGTGACCTAACATATGGTCTATCCATGAGAATGATTCATGCACTGCAGAGCAAAATGTGTAGTCTGAAGCCATTGGATAAAATGTTCTGTAAATATCCATTGTGTCCATTTGGTTTATAGTGCAGATTAGGCCTGAGATTTCTTTGTTGGTTTTCTGTCTGGAAGATTTATCCAATGCTGAAAGTGTGATGTTGCATTCTCCAGGTATTATTATATTGGAGCCTGTCTCTCTCTTTAGCTCTAATAATACTGGCTTAATATATCTGAGTACTTCAGTGTTGGATGCATATGTATGTAACATTCTTACATCCTCATGCTGAATTAAACTCATTATTATTATAGAGTGACCATCTTTGTCTCTTCTTCTAGTTTTGTCTTGAAATCTATTTTGTCTGACATAAGTGTAGCAACTACTGCTATTTTTGTTTGTTTTCTTTGACATGGAATTTTTTTAAATCTTTTTAATCTATGTGTTTATAGGTGAAGTGTGTTTCTTGTAGGCAACAAATCGCTGGGTCTTAATTTTTGTATCCATTTAGCCACTCTGTGTCTTTTGATTGGAGAATTTAGTCCATTTACATTCAGTGTTGTTATTGATTATATAAAGACTTACTCTTGCCATTTTGTTCTTTGTTTTCTGGTCTTGCTATCAGCAGCAAGAGGGAACCTGAAAGTAGGTAGCCATCTGTGAGGCTGAGTCTGGGATTTTTATGGGTTTAAAACAGGAGAATGCATGCTGATTGGTTCATGGGTGGGCTTGGAAAAGACACCATTCAATTGGTTAAAAGGCATCATTCTCAAAGAACCAATAGAGAGCAGGTTAGACAGGGATGGAAGTTCTCACTCTAGTCCATGAATTCTTTCTGGAACTGGTAGCTCAGTTTTCAGGCTTTTTAGACTGTTGTTTCCTTGAAGGTCGAGTTTCACCAGTGCACCCATCCCTGTCTGCCTAGGAGTTTGTCTTCTGTTGCTATCAGTAGGACTGCAGTGGGTCAGACCTGAAACCAGCACAGCACTTGATCACACCCATGGTGAGCTGTAACCCTACCTGGTACCACCAGTAATTGCTCAAGGTCTTGGGGCTTTATAATCTGTAGGTGGTAAGCCAGCCAGGTTTGTATCCTTTCCTTCAGAGTAGTGAGTTCCCTCAGGTTCTGGGCAAGCCCAGTGGTGCCATCCAGGAGCCAGGGGCTGGAGTCAATAACCTTAGGAGTCTACTTTGTGTTCTATTGTACTGTGGTAGAGCTAGCAATTAAACCATGAAATTCGGTTCTTCCCATTTTTCCCTCCTTACTCAACAGGCAGA
Organism: Homo sapiens; assembly: GCF_000001405.40. Taxonomy (NCBI): domain Eukaryota; kingdom Metazoa; phylum Chordata; class Mammalia; order Primates; family Hominidae; genus Homo; species Homo sapiens. The sequence continues at coordinate 204,322 of NT_187382.1, read as the reverse complement.
GGGGCCTCATCCTATTGCTGCCATCACCACAGGCCCATCGGGAATACTGCCAGGCTTCCACCAATGTTCTCTTAAGGTTCAAGGCTCTTTAGTTCACTTATAGTGAATGATGCTTGGCCTGGTACTCATCCTTTTGGTCAGTGGTGTCCCTTCTGTCCCAGTACAGGTCCAGAAGTGCCATCCAAGTGCCAAGACCTGGAATAAGGGACCCCAAGAGCCCACTGGTGCTCTTCCTCTCTTTGGCCATGCTGGGACCTAAGTTGCAAGATGAAGTTCTCTAGTTTTTCCTCTACCTTTTTCAGTGTCTCCCTGTAGCCACCACAGTTGTGAATGTGCCGAGTCTCACCTGATTCTAGCAAGCCTCAGAGTCTCAATGAAAGCTCACAGCAAACTACCTGGTTATCACTGCAGGTTATTCCAGGCCAAGGGCCCTTTACTTAGCAGTTGATGGGTCTTGTTAGTACCGGATTTCTTCATTCAAGGCAGCAGATTTCCTTATAGTCCAGTATGTACCTAGAAATTTTAATTAGGAGCTAGTGGCTGAGAAGGGTGTTTTATAACTCTGACTGGTGGCCTTGCTGGTATCCAAAATACAAGACAAAGTCCTGTTTACTCTTTCTGTCTTCTTAAGTAGATGGAAGTGGTCTCTTGAATCTGTGAGCTGTGCAGCCTCAGTTTGGAGGAGGGGTGGTATAAGAACTCTCTTAGCTGCCCCAGCTTGTATCTTAGTAGGTAATGTGGCCCCCAAGTCCACTGGCTCTAAGCCCAGTTCAGCATGACACCTGGGAGTTGCTGTCCTTGTGACCTAGACTGTTTTAAGTTTCTTTAGGGCCCCAGAGCATTTTAGACTATGGTGGTGAAGCTTGCCAGAACTCAAGTTCCAATCACTGGGAGGGTGATTCCCCTCTGTCCAGGGCCAGTTGAAACACACCCTCTGTGGGCAGGCATCAGCTGAGTTCATTCCAGTTTTGCTTTCTGCTATGATAGGGCAGCACTGAGTTCAATGCTCACAATCCCAGTGCTCTCCCTCTCCCAAGTGTACAGATTCTGTCTACATAGCATGTGACTACTGCCAGGGCATGAGTGAGGAGTGGCATTAGTGATTCAAGACTGTCTTTCCTACCCTGTTTTAGTGCCTCTTTGTGTACTGCAGGGTTAAAACCAGGTACTGTGAGTGCTCGCCTTTATTCTTATGAAGGTTTTTGTTTGTTTTTTAATAGATAGTTGTTATATTGGTGTCCTTCCAGGGGAAATGATCACTGGAGCCTTCTATTTAGCCATCTTGCTCTGTCCTCTGTTGGTTTTCTACTATGGCATTGTGCTCATGTTCTCAGCTTGGTAAAATTTCATATTAGATTTGTAAAGTATATTCAGCTAAATTCAGTATGTAGAATAATTAGTTATTTTTACTACTTTGAGCTATATATTCTTATTACAACCAAGGCATTTTACCAGAGCAAGGCATAGAAGAGTCATTCAAAAAAGCAACACTAGGAAAAGCAACACTGGGAAGATATGAGAGCTGTGGCCTTGAAAATTTATGCTTATGGAAAAACTGGGAAAGTATAGGTGAAGGACAAAAAGAATGTTATAATTTATGTAGCCAATATTTGACAACTTCTCATAACAAAAATTTAACTGTGAAAGGAGATGAAGAACATAGAATATTTCTGAAGAAGCCTCAGTTTCTGCCAGCTACTCCTACAGAACCATGTATTCCTGTGAGTAAATATCAACATCAATTTTTGGAATCTGTCTTTTGTAATAAAAATCAGATAAATTTTAGCCATGACTCAAATATTAGTAAACATCAGAATACTCATTTTCTAGAAAACTATTACAAATGTAATGAATGTGAGAAAGTGTTTTATCAATCCTCAAAGTATCCATATTCAAGAAAAGCCTTACAACCCTAATGAATGTGGTGAAACTTCTAACCCATCCTCAAAACTTACTCAACATCGAAGAACTTATATTGGAGAGAGCTCACAAAGATGTAATAAAAAATGTATAATAGTCTTTAGTCAGTCACATCTGAAGAGACATAAGATAATTAACACTGGAGAGAAATCAGTAAAATGTAAAGAACGTGGCAAAGCTTTTACCAGGGGCTTACAACTTGGACATCAGAAAATTCATACTGGAGAGAAACCTTACAAATGTGAAAAATGTGACAAAGCCTTTAAGAAGAGCTCACACCTTGCTCAACATCAGAGAATCCATACTGGAAACAAACCTATCAAGTGTAAGGACTGTGGCAAAGCTTTTAACAGAGGCTCATACCTTACTTAACATCAGAGAATCCATACTGGAGAGAAAGCCTTCAAATGTAAAGAATGTGGCAAAGCCTTTAATAGAAGCTCATACATTACTCAGCATCAGAGAATTCACACTGGAGGGAAACCTTTCAAGTGTCAAAAAATGTGGCAAAGCTTTTAACAGAGCTTCACACCTTACTCAACATCAGAGAATACATACTGGAGAGAAACACTTCACACATAAAGAATGTGGCAAAGCCTTTAACAGGGGCTCACACCTTACTCGACATCAGAGAATCCACACTGGAGAGAAGTCTTTCAAATGTAAAGAATGCAGCAAAGCTTTTATCTAGGGCTCACACCTTACTCAACATCAGAGAATCTACACTGGAGAGAAATTCTTCAAATGTAAAGAATGTGGCAAAGCTTTTACCAGGAGCTCACACCTTTCTCAATATCAGAGAATTCATACTGGAAAGAAACCTTTCAAATGTGAAGAATGTGGCAAAGCTTTTAACAGACACTCAACCCATACTCAACATCAAATAATTCATACCAGATAGAAACTCTTCAAGTGTAAAGAATGTGCCAAAACCCTAAACTGGTGCTCACACCTTACTCAACAATTCTATCTTTTATACAATAAATTACAGTTAACTATAGTTGTCCTATTGTGTTACAAAACACTAGATCTTATTTCTTCTATTTTTCTTAATATTTAATTAAAATATTATTTCAGGCTGGACATGGTGGCTGATGCCTGTAATCCCAGCACTTTGGGTCAGTGAGGGAGGATCACTTGAGCTCAGTACATTGAGGCTGCCTTCAGCTATGATTACGCCACAGCACTTGAGCTGAGGACAGAATGAGACCCTGTCTTTAGAAAAAAATAGGCTGGGTGTGGTGGCTCACACCTGTAATCCCAGCCCTTTGGGAGGCCTAGGCAGGAGAATCTCATGAGCGCAGGAGTTTGAGACAAGCCCATGCAACATAATGAGACCCCATCTATACACAAAATTTAAAAATTAGTTGGGCATGGTGGTGTGCAGCTGTGGTCCCAGATACTTGGTAGCCTGAGGTGGGAAGACTACTTGAGCCTAGGAGGTAGAATCTGCAGTAAGCCATGATCATGTTACTTCACTCCAGCCATGGTGATAGAATAAGATCTGTCTCAAAGAAACCAAAAAAATAAAATATTTGCTTATTTTTTGAAAAAAATGCACAACATTGAGAAATATGGAAGTTATTTTAAAAGTTTTTTATTCTCTTCTAAATGCATTTTCTAAAATATACAAAAAATTAGTAAAAAAAAAAAAAATGACATAACTGACCTCACATGCATTAAGTGAAATAAACCAGACACAAAACATAATACAGTGTATCATTCCATTTATACAAAATAGTAATCATACCACAATAATAAAGAGGTAATAAAAATGGACCAGGCATGGTGGCTCACACGTTTAATTCTAGCACTTTGGGAGGCTGAGGCAGGTGGATTGCCTGAGGTTAGGAGTTCGAGAGCAGCCTGGCCAACATGGTGAAACCATGTCTCTACTAAAAACAAAATTAGCCAGGTGCAGTGGTGGGCGCCTGTAATCCCAGGTACTCAGGAAGCTGAGTCAGGAGAATCTATTGAACCCGCGAGGCAGGCAGAGGTTGCAGTGAGCTGAGATCGCACCACTGCACTCAAGCCTGCATGACAGAGACTCCATCTCAAAAACGAAACCAAACCAAACAATAAAGGTGATAAAATGGAATGTCCATAAAAGGGAAATCAGTAATGATTGTCTAGTCCTGATAGTGGAAATATTTTAAAGTTATACCATGGCTATAGTTGCATAATTATAAATATACCAGAAACTTTGTATTGAGTATGATGTTATGCATATTTCATCATAACTTTTTTTAAAAAAATAAGCATGCCATAAAATAGCAAGGTGGTTAAATTGCTTGCTTGAAAACAATCTGAAAATGCAATCAATTTTTGCTCATTTCAAGGTTTTTGATTAGGTGTTTCTGAATTCGTCCGTTAGGTCTAGTTGGTATATTAAAGTCAGCAGTTCACATTGAGAATTTTCTACTTCTACCATTCTGCCATTTGTGCTTCATATATTGGGGTCTTTGTTAGGTACATGCATATTTAAAACTATTTTATCTTCTTGATAGATTTATAATTTTTTAACATAAAATTTCCTGTGTCAATTAATTATAGCAATGTTGTCTTAATGCCTATCTTGTCTAAGGGTAACCACCCCAGCTTATTTTGCTTACTATTTGTGTGGAATCTTTTTACCCATCCTTTCACTTTCAACCTATTTGTGAGCTTAGGACTAAAGAGATTCTCCTGTAGATAACATAAAGTTAGTTCATGTTTTTGTTTATTTTTAAACCATCTGCCAATCTTTGCATTGTAATTGTAGATGTTAATTTCTATTTAAACTATTTATAAGGAAGGGCACACTTCTGCCATTTTTCTAGTTGTTTTCTAAAGTCTTGTATATTTTTGTTAATTAACTCTTATATTACTGACATCTTTAATGTTCTAGTATTTTTCCAAAACAGTTTTGATTCTCTTCTCATTTCCTCTTTCACTTCTTTCTTTAGTTGTGTTTTTAGTGGCTACCTTAAGGATGACAATTAATCTCATCACTGTGTAACTGTACTTTAAATTAATACCGCTCGTAATTCAGTTTTATTTTAAAAGCTGTTTCAATAGAGATCTGCTCCTCCAATGTTATGTTGTTTTGTCACATATTACATCTTTATGCATTGTATGACATTAACAAAAATTTATAATTATTTTATGCATTAGTATTTTAAATTACATGTAAAAAAGAACAATAGATAAAAGTTACAAAATATTCTTTAATAGTGGCATTTATATTTTGCCATGTACTCATTTTTACTGGCATTCTTTATTTTTTCATATGGCCTTGCATTATTACCTAGTTTGTCATTTCATTTCAACCCAAAAGATAACCTTTGTCATTTAATGCATACCAGGTCTACTAGTGACAAGCTGTTAAATTTGTTTTAATCTATATAGCTCTTAGTGTCTTCAAAGGTCTTCAAGGATGTCCTTCATCTTTGAAGAGCAGTTTTGCTGAAAATAGAGTTCTTTGTTGGCTTTTTTTTTTTCTTTCTACACTTTAAATATATTGTCCTATCATATTCTGGACTCCGTAGTTTTTAGTGAGAAATTATATTCTGGACTCTAGTTTTTAGTGAGTTGTTAATGTCAGTGTAGATGCATTGCAAATAGTAGTCTTTTCTCCATAACTTTCTTCAAAGTTGTCTCTTTAGCTTTTGAAAGTTTTATTGTAATTTGTCTTGGTGTAGAGTTCTTTGAGTTTATACTATGAATTCAATGAGATTTTGGAATGTGTAGATTCACGTATTTCATCATGCTTGGGAACTTTTTAGCCATTATTTCTTCAGATGTTCTTTCTGCCCCATTTTATCTTTCTCCCTTCTTTCGGGAGTTTTCATAATGCTTGTAATGGCACATTTTATAGTATCCCATTGTTATCTTAGGCTCTGTTCATCTTTATTCATTATTTTTTATTTCTGCTAGTTGGGATAATACGAATTGAAGTGACCTCAAGCTTGCTGGTTGTGTCTTTCGTCTACTTAAATCTTTTGTTGAACCTTTGTGGTGAATTTTTTATTTTAGTTATCTTAATTTTCAACTTTAGAGTTTGGCTTCAGTTTATAATCTCTATCTCTATTAATATTTTCTATTTGATGAGACACTATTCTTCTGAAATGTTTTTCCTTTTGATGTTATTTATCTTTGCAGCACATTTAAGACAGGTAATTTAAAGACTTTTTCTAGATTTTTCAATGCCTACGATTCCTCTAGGACTGTTTCTGTTAATATCTGTTATCTTATTAGTGGGCCATTATTTTTTCATTAATTTATTTGCACGCTTTGTATTTCATTGCTGTTGCTGAAAACTAGACTTTTTCTATCACAACAACCCTGAAATAATATTCTCTCTCATCCCGTTGGGTTTTTTTGTTGCTTATTGTAAATTTTACTTGTTTGTTTGGTGAGTTTTCAAAATTATTTTTAAAATATCATCCTTTTGTCGTGTTTAGCAATAAAAATCTCTGCTTTATTAGCTTCATGTGAGCTAGTTATTTGACAGAGATTTTCTCAAATGCCTGCTCACATCAAATATAAATCTACTAGTTCTTGCAGTTGGGTTTACTTAGCCAGAAAGATTACAACTTTGCTGTTTTCTTTTCTTCCTGCTTGTGCAGTGCTTGGAGGTAAAGCAGACATGAGAGATAACAGCTTCGTAGGTCTTTGTGAGCATTTGCCTGTCCCTTGATTGACCCTGAACATGCTTATGGGCTTCTGGATTCTCAGGAATATGTGGATAATTTTCAAAGCCCGAATCCCCCAGGCACCTCACTCCTCAGTCTTTTCTCTTAGATATTCTACATGACTTTTGCTTGCCGCACTGATATTCTTTCTCCAAGGTGTGATGAGTAGTTAATTAGCCCTTAACTATTTTTGCCAAACATTAGGTTATTAATTTAGAATTGTTTATTTTTAATGTAGGTGTTTACTGCTGTGAATTTCTCTCAGTAGTTTGCTGCATCTCATGTTTTGATGTTTTTTTGAGACAAGTTCACACTCTGACACCCAGGAATGAGTGCAGTGGTTTGATCAGGGGTCTCAGAAGCCTTGACCGTGTAGGCTCAAGTGAACTTGCTGCCTCAGCCTCACAAGTAGCCAGAGCTACAGGCAGGTGGTACAATGCCTGGCTAATTTTTGAATTTTTTTTGTGAAGATTGGTTCTCATTATGTTGCCCAGGCAGGTCTCAAACTCTTGGGCTCAGTCCTCCCACTGCTGCCTCCTAAAATGCTTAAATTACAGGCATAAGTCACAGCACTCAGCCTTTATAAAACCTTTGATATTTTTTCTTTTATTCTGTTTTCCCATGTTTGTAACATGTTGTCCCAAATTATACAATAGTTCTATGGTAGTTGTGGCAGATTTGTGACATAAAATAGAGAAAACATAAGTTACATTTAAATTTGGGGTAAACAACAAATAACTTTTTAGTATAGCTATGCAATGTTTTTATATCTGTGTATAATATGTGTAAGCAACTACTGGAGTATATACAAATAACAATTCATCATTTACCTGAAATTCAAATATAACCAAGTGTGTTACATTTGTCAACCCTTGTTCATGGGAGCCACTGTTCTTTTCTCCAGACTCAGCATTAATGACCTGAAAACCTTCATTAGAGAAAAATAAAGTTTGATAATTAGCAGATACATTCTTTTGCGGTATGTAGTAGTCATTAGAGAGGGTGTGGCATGAATTAAAGTGTGTGATCTGGATACCTTATGGGGAGAAAAAAATAGAATTCTTACGTATGTTGTTTTATCTAATTGTATTACCTCTTTCTGTGATATAACTTTTAATACATACAGTATATTTAGTAAAAGTGATTTCTACATAAGTAGTAAGTAGTTATTTGTATATTAATTGTCCATGTTTATTTTCTGGAACTAGACTGCAGTATTTAATATATGGAGATTATTATGGCTTTAATCTGATACTATCCTGGAGCTTCTTTTAGGTTTAACATGACAAAAGAACCATATCATGTTGATGGCATCAGTATATTTTGGTGGCAACTATCCATTGTTTGGTTCTGGACATTGAGATAAATGTGTACTTATACTAGATTATGTGTTGGGAGAAAAAATAAAAACTGATATATAAACTATGCAATTTCCTTTTTGTAAACTCATCCATATCAGGTGGTTTAAAATTGGTTAGCAGTTTTCTAACTCAGATGTTAATTTCTGAGTATGAGGTAAAAAATACTGTCAAATCATCTTCATTGCCTTGCACATTTATATTTGTGGTTTGTGCATTAGTACCATCACAACTCACTGGCTCACTATAGCCTCAAGATCCTATGCTCAAGTGATCCTTCCATGTCAGCTTCCCATGTAACTGGGACCACAGGTACGTGCCACCATGCCTAGCTAATTTCTTTCTTATTTTTGATAGACACAGGGTGTCACTGTGTTGCTCAAGCTAATTTCAAACTGTTTATCTGAAGCAATGTCCCTGCCTCAGCCTCTCAAAGCGGTGGAATTATAGGCATGAGCCAGAGCTCTATTATTCTAAGCTGCGGGCTGAATTAGTTGGATACAATAGTGATGACTGTATTCAGGGCAAAGAAGAAAGTAATTGCAGAATTATTCAATAAAATTTTATGAAGGGTTCTCATACAGAGATATCATGATTAAGAGATGGAGAATTATCTTTACTATTAGTGACCTTGGTGTTTTTCCAAGGCTTGGAAAGGCATCTTTCCATGGAAGGGTATCTCTGTATAAAGTGAAGCATCAAGAAAATTATCACTTAATGCAAATTCATGGATCCCATAAAGTAGAAAAAGGTAGTCCATGTACTTGTAGCATTGAAAACTGGATTTTAGCAATTTCCACCTGAGATGAAATAAAGCTTTCATGAGATTTCTCTGGGATAAAAACAAAACTTGAACAGAGCCAGAATTATTTTAAGGGATTCGTTTAATAGGACTTGTGGTAAGTGGAATAATGCCATGCAAAGGTCCCCATGTCTAACCACCAGGTTCTAGGCATGTATTATGGTATATGAGAAATGGGAATTCAGGCTGCAGATGAAATCAAGGTTGATAACCAGCTGACTCTAAAACAAAAACATTAACTTGAATTACAGATTTGGGCCTAATGTAATTATAAGCATTCTTAAAAGTGAAAGAAATAATAAGAGAAACTGAGTACTGTGATGTGAGTCAGTTAAACTTTTTTTTCAACTTTTTCTTTAGGTGATTATTTTCCCTTAACATAAAATTTACTTTAGCTCAACTATACAAACATGTGAGTTATTGTTATGTAACCATCACTCTTCATTAAGAAATGCTTTGTAAAAAGTGAGCCAGTTTTTCATATACATTCTTCAAAATACATTCTCAACATTATATATCAAATTATATATACATACATGCACACATACACTATATATATCAAGGATTTATATGATAGGATTAATTAAGAAAAAAATTAGTGGAATAAAAATAATGTTTATGATAATTTTGGCCATAGAATATATAATACAGATGATGTGAAGTACAAAATGTTTTTTATACTTCATATTTTGATGTACAAAGTATGTTTGTCTTTGTAATTCAGATGATTACTTTGCACTTGTGTTCCCATGAAAAATGCCTTTCATTTCTAAGCTGGTATTGGCATCTCAGCCAACACTTTTCTCCTTCTTTTCTGCGTCTTCTCCTTTTCTGCTTTTTCTGGATCTCAGGCCAGAGCGCACTTACCTACCAGTCTGTCATGTGGCCCTCATCCACATGGTGGTCCTTCTCACCATGGTGTTCTTGTCTCCACAGCTCTTTGAATCACTGAATTTTCAGAATGACTTCAAATATGAGGCATCTTTCTACCTGAGGAGGGTGATCAGGGTCCTCTCCATTTGTACCACCTGCCTCCTGGACATGCTGCAGGTCGTCAACATCAGCCCCAGCATTTCCTGGTTGGTGAGGTTTAAATGGAAATCCACAATTTTTACCTTCCATTTGTTCTCATGGTCTCTCAGTTTTCCTGTTAGTAGTAGCCTGATCTTTTACACTGTGGCTTCTTCCAATGTGACCCAGATCAATTTGCATGTCAGTAAATACTGTTCACTTTTCCCAATAAACTCCATAATCAGAGGACTGTTTTTCACTCTGTCATTATTCAGAGATGTTTTTCTTAAACAGATAATGCTGTTCTCAAGTGTCTACATGATGACTCTCATTCAGGAACTACAGGAGATCCTGGTACCTTCACAGCCCCAGCCTCTACCTAAGGATCTTTGCAGAGGCAAGAGCCATCAGCACATCCTGCTGCCGGTGAGTTTCTCGGTGGGCATGTACAAGATGGACTTCATCATCTCAACCTCCTCAACGTTGCCATGGGCATATGACCGTGGTGTCTAGAGGCTAGTGGGCAGTGTCTATACCATTGTCAGGTTTTTGGTGCTACTGAGATCTGATAAAAGGGTAATCAATGTGATGTAAACTATAAGACAAATGTTTAAAAGGTTAATTGTATGAATCCTGTCATGAGTTAAATTATTCAGAGTGTTCATTATAGAGAATAATCCAAAGTTAAAATAATTGGATAATTTATTTGTATGTAGGATAAAAGTAGTAGGAGATTGCTTCTTGAAGATTTAAAATTATATTGAGTGTAATTATTTGCATTAAAATAATTTTAAATGTTTTGAATAGCAAGTATTGATATAATTAAACTTTCGAATAACTTAGTGCTTTGCCTTTATTCCTAATGTTTATATGGAAGCATGTGGTCAATGTTTGATGCATTACAGCTCTGAGCGGTCCTTCTGTATTAGGTGGTCATCATTTATATACTTCTCCATAAAAGATTAAGGACCTGGAAATGTAAGATACATGAAGAAAATCTAAGTGGAGAGGCTGTTTGTGGTTAAGTGATAACAGTGTTGTAAGCGATGCATGAGGTAGGTGTTCAGTGCATATCCTCTGCATTTTATTAATAAACACTGTAAAATTTAGAAGAAAATTGTTTCACCAAATGCACATAAAACTAATAAAATAGAGTGGATTTTGATATGTCTCAGATTATTTGTAAACTTTATTTGTTTTAACAAATAAAAAATATTTTTAATATGTTAAGGGTCTTGTGCATTGATTGAAGTGTCATCCTGCTGTCAACATTAACTTATTCTACCTTACTCAGGCTTGTAGGTAAAACATGGTAAGACTATACCATTAAGTAATATGGTGGAATAACATCTGTAGTGATTCTTTTTCCCAGTGGCCTTATACTTCAAATAATTTAGAGAATATTGTTCCCACGTGTTACATTTTTATTTATTTTGTAACTGTGAAGTTATTGTGATGGTTATACTGAAGATTATATAGGAGTATAATCAAAAGCCCTACATTTCTGAATTCTGAATAACTATTTAGAAAATTCAGCCTACATTTTTTTGAACATGTTATCTCTGGTTCTACAAACACAAAATTTTAGTTTTAATTTACATGGTGTAAAATTTCTAAATATATTACTCTAAAGATAAACTTCAGATATAAAAGAATTGGAGAAGTAATTGTTTTTATGTGAGTGTGGACCTATTCTGAGTAGGAAAATATATCAGAACAAAGCAGATGATTTCATGAGTGTTTATGATATACTAGCAAACTAAAACCTCACAGATTCTGAAAGCAAATTTATTTCCTCTGCTTTCCATTCATCTCTAAAATCTTGTGGTTCAGAATCTCCCCATCCAAACCCTTTGTTCTAGCTTGCCTTCTATTCATGCTAGACCTAATATACAATTTTCTTCTTTCAAAGTTCATGAAGTATTCTTTATGTGACCTGCCTAATGATTATAGCTCTTTCGGTAAAATGTAATGGTGCTAACTAAATAATTTGAAGATCTGAGTAATTTTGCAGTGAGTATATTGTTAAATTTTATTATTTAATTAGTATATTTAATCTTTTCAATTAGAGAATTCTATTTAAGCAAAATGTTTTTATTACTGTTTCTTTCATGTTTTATAGTAGACATATTTGATATAATTATTGAATTTATTGAGCCATGCTTTTAAGGTAAAAACTCAGGAGGCTTCATAAGCCATGGGATTTTCTTGCCATTTGTATGAAGTAAACAAACACAAGACGGTGCTAGGTGTGTAACAAATGCTTTACAATTATCAGGAAATATTTCTGCTCGAGTGAGTTTGTATCTTCATATAAGAGATTAAAAACACCCAGAGTGAAGAAGTGGCGTTGGTTTTGCATGGTGAGAGAGGAAATCTGTAGTCAGGCTGCACAACTAACTCTAAATTTAGACAGATAAATTCTGCTTCTTTTATTTTCTAATTATCTTCAGTTTTTCTTTCACTGTCTTTTTATCTTCACCCCCAAATACATATGCATTACAGCCCTTCTCTTTCTTTGCCTGTCTTATGGCAACATCTTGCTCACTGTTCTCCCCACCCCATGTTATTTCACACAGTACTCTGCAGGTTCTGAGGACAAGTTAGAATTATTTTTAATGTGCCTAAAAATTCTTTGTAGCTGGAGAATTTGAGGTCATTTATAGATTACAAATGCAACATTCTTGTCACTTAATTTAGATAAGATAACGCAGTATCCATGGATTAGATCGTTGGACAGATAGCATTGTTAAACATTATTATATTATAACACAAAGAATGGTAAATATCAAATTAGACTAAGTGAAGTATTAATACCAGTGGGCCATGTATTATTAGTGCTACATAAGAAAACAAATCAAAATTTGGATATCCCATTAGAGACATGTCTTAGAAATAAAATTGTATTAAGGAGAGTTAGTGGTAAGTAAAATATTTTAAATTCAAATTTCTATGAAATATTTATCCCACCGCTTATGTTTCCATGCAGAATCTTCTGTTGTTGAGTGGGTATAATAAGTTTTGGACAAAAATAAAATAACCTTTGTGGGTTTAAAATTTGGAATAATCTTTTTTGCGGATTCGTATTGCCATCTTGGGAAATTTCTCACTCATATTATTATAACTTCTTTTATTTGAATGGGCACAGTTACAGTCCACAGTTTTTATTCTCAGACACCTAATTACAGCCAAATTCTAGGTCATTCTCTTTAGAGAAATCTCAAAGACAATGGCAGGCTTTTGGATTAAAACATTTTCTCAGTGATTTTGGAAGCAAACTTGTTTTCAGTGTTTACAGAAGGGCCAGAGGCGAAACCATTAGCAGCACCTGCCTTTTTAGTGTCTTCTATACCAGGAATTCCAGGTACCTGGAGCTCAAAGTAAAAGCTCTAAAGTACATAGGATTCTCCCAGGCACTGTGCTGGTTCTTGCACATGCTGGTAAATATCTGAGTTTCTATGCTTATGACTGACAAATGAAATGACAAAAACATCACAAAAACTATATATTTTGATACTACTCTGCTAAGCTTATGAATAAGACACAGACTGATTATTTGAAACACTACCTTTTCATGTTTCTACATTTTTTAAATTGACAGATAAAATTATATGTATTGTCATGTAAAATGTGGTTTAAAGCATGCATACATTGTGTAATATTAAATTCTGGCTAATTAACAAGTGCTTTACCTCATATAGTTATCATTTTTGTGATGGAGAACACTTAACATTGACTATATCAGTATTTTTAAAACATAACAGTATGTCATCATTAACTATAGTCACCAGGCTTTACAACAGATTTTTTTAACTTATTCCTTTAATCTAACTAATTATATATTCTTTGAAAGACATCTACCCAATCCCCTTCCAAAATATCTTAGCCTCTCGTTCCACTATTTTAGTCTCTACTTCAATGCGATCAATTTTTTAAAATTCCACATATGAGCAAAATCATGAGGTATTTGTCTTTCTGTGTCTGGATTATTTCAATTAACATAATCTCCTTCATGTTCATCCATGTAATTGAAAATGACAGTATTTTCTATTTTAAGGCTGAATAATAATCCATTCGTACAGAATGGATGTATGCCACATGTTCTTTATCATTTTATTTGATAATAAACCCTGAGTTTGATTTTATATCTTGGCTATTGTGAATAGTGCTGCAATAAACATAACAGCACAGATGTCTCTTTCACATACTTGATTTTTTTGATATGTGCCCAATAATGATATTGCTGTATCATATGATAGTTCAGCTTTTAATGTTTGAGAAATCTCCATACTGTTTTGTATAATGGCTACGCTGATTTACATTCAGTGCGCAAGCATTCCCTTTGCTCCACATCTTTGCCAATAATTATTTTTTTGGCTTTTTATTAATAGTCATTCTAACAGTAGTGAGTTGTTATCTAATAGAGGTTTAGATTAGTCCTAACCTTAGATTAGCCTTAACCTTAGATTAGCCTTATGATAATTTACCTCGCATTTTTTTCATATATTTTTTACCATTTGTATGTCTTCCTTTAAGAAATGTTTATTTACATCTTTCACCCATTTTAATAGTTACTTGTTTATTGTTCTATAGTTGTTTGAGTTTCCTGTCTATTTTGGATAGTAACCCTTTGTCAGATATATAACTCATAAATATTTTCTCTTATTTATACGTTATTTTTCTTCTGTTGGTTGTACCTAGTGCTGTGTAGAAGCTTTTCAGTTTTCAAGTAATCTCATTTGTCTACTTCCACTTTTGTTTGCTGGGATTTTGAGGTGAAATAAATAAGAAAAAATTATTGTCCCCACCAATGTCATGGAGCTTTCACTCTGTTTTTTGTAGCAGTTCCAGAGTTTTGAGTCTTTGATTTATGTTGGTGGAGGGTCTCATTTCATTGTTCTGCCTGGAGATACTCAGTTTTCATAACACCACTTTTGAAGTAACTGTCCTTTCCCCACTGTGTGTTCTTGTCACCTTTGTGTAAGATCCTGAAATTTTATGAATTTGTTTCTGGGCTCTGCATTCTGCTTTATTCACCTATGTTTCTCTTTTTAAACCAGTTATCATACTGTATCAATTCCTAAAGCTTTGTAGTGTATTTCAAAGGTAGTGTAATGCTTCCAGCTGTATTATTTGTGCTTAATTTCTGTTGCTGTTTAGTGTTTTTGTGATGCCATATGAACTTTAGAATTTTTGAAATATTCTAAATAATTTCATTTGTATACAGATAAGAGACTGCTTTGAATCTGTAGATTGTTTTGCTCAGTGTAGACATTTTAACAGTATTAATTCTGCCAATCAATGAACCAGAAATATCTTTCCATTTATTTGTGATTTAGAAAGTTTTTCTACTCAGTGTTTTTTAATTTTAATATAGAAATCTTTCACCATTTTGGTTACATTTATGAGTAAACTTTTTGTAGTTATTATAAATAAAATTGTTTACTTGACTTTTTCAGGTAGTTTATAGTTCATGTATAGAAATTCTGGCATTTTGAATTGGTTTAAATTTTTTATTTTTGTGGGTACTTAGTTGGAGATATATTGATGTGATATATGAGATACTTTAATACAGGCATAGAAAGAAATAATCACATCATGGAAAATGGGGTATCCATCATCCCCTCAGGCATTTATTCTTTGTGTTACAACCAATCTAATTTTACTTTTTTCGTTATTATAAAATGTACAATTAAAATTATTATTGACTATAGTCACCCAGATGTACTATCAAACACTAGGTCTTATTAATTCTTTCTTTTTTTTTGTACTCATTAACCATCCCTACCGTCCCCTACATTCCCCACTGCCCTTCCCAGCCTCTGGCAACTACCTCTACCTACATGAGTTATATTGTTTTGATTTTTAGCTCCGACAAATAAGTGAGAACATGGAAAGTTTGTTTTTCTGTGCCTGGCTTATTTCACTTAATCTATGGTTCCATCAATGTTGTTGCAAATAATAGGATCTTATTTTTTATGGCTAAATAGTATTCCATTGTGTATATGTGCCATGTTTTCTTTATCCAGTCATTTCTTGATGGACATCAGGTTACTTCCAAATATTGGCTGGAGCACACTGCTGTAACAAACATGGGAGGGTAGATATCTCTTCAATGTATGGATTTCCTTTCTAGTAAGTGAATCCTCAGGAGTGGCATTCCTGAATTATATGGTAGCTTTATTTTTAGTTGTTTTGAAGAATTTTCAAAATGTTACATTCCTGTCAACAGCATACAAGGGCTCCCTTTCTCCACTTCTCTCCAGCATTTGTTACTGCCTACCTTTTGGATATAAGCCATTTAACTGAGTCACGTAATATCTCATTGTAGTTTTGATTTGCATTTGTCTGATGATCAAAAATGTTGAGCACCTTTTCGTATGCCTGTCTGCCCTTTGTACGTCTTATGAAAAATGCCTATTCAAATATTTTGTTTATTGTTTATCAGATTATTAAATTTTGTACATTGAAAGATTTTACTGTGAATAGTTGACGAAAATTGGTTAAGTCCATTAAGACATGCTTCCTGCCCCTCACAACTCACCCACGCTGTTCTAGTCTCTCCGTAAGTGTCAATTCTGAAGGCCACAACTTCCATAACTTCCATATCTTCTCAGTATTACATTTCAAGATGAATATATTGTGCTTTACTCTGGCAACATGTCTTCCATAAAATGAGAATACACATCTGGGAAAAGGGAAAATAAATTACCTCACTTATTAGATTCAGGTGAGTACGTGTTAGAAACCTAATGTATAAAGTTATGTCAAGCACATTAGCAAAATGACACAATAAAAATCATAGGCCCTAATTTCTTCATATACATATACACTTAACAAAAATATCCTGAACAAAATTCCATTGTGATAAGTTTAAAAATCAAGAGTTTGCAGCACCCCAGGCAAGCAGAATGCCAAAAGCCAAATAGTAGAGGAAGGAAAATTTGTTGCATTTACCCACCACAGCCCTTCTTCCTCTCCAATGCAGCATGATGCTTATAGAAGTAAACTTCTGACTTCTTTCTGAAGAAAGAAAATAAACACACAATCCCAGAGTAGACACAGCCTGAGAACAGGCTTTAGAAACCTCCAGAATCTCTAGCCTGGTCAATTGGTGTCAGACTCCAAACCACTTTATAAAGACTGTGACAGCTTTCTGTTAATGCTCAAATCACAATGAAAGATGACAACAGAGTACCAGAGTAACATGGCCAAAAAAACACAATAAATTTCCAGATATGAACCCTAAAAAATTGAGATATACAAATTACTTGAAAATATTCAAAATAACCATCTAAATGATGCTCAGTGTATGAAATGGGAACATAGACAACTGAATGAAAGCAGCAAAATGAGAATATCACAAAAAATTATAAAAACCTTCAAAAATTATGGAGCTGAAGACTACAGTAAGTCATAAAGACAGAAATTCTCAAACAAAATACTTGTAAAATATCAAGAAGCTTAAATTACTTTGGCTAAGATAAACACAAAGTTACTCATAACAAGACAGATTATAAGCAAAATTTTAAAAGTCGTAGGCAAAAGGAATCTTGGAAGCAAGCAGTAAGATAAACCTGTTGTGTCATCTATAGCATGCTTCATTGAGATTTGCAGTGGATTTATCAACACAGTCCTTGCAGGCCAGAAAAAAAGTTAAGTGATATAGTCAAAGTGCTGAAACAAAAACTTTCAAAGCAAGAATACTATAACTAGGAAAATTCTTCAAAAAAAATTCCAAAGTAACAAAATGCAGTAAAAGTACATCACTAGTATATCTGCCTTACTGAAAATGCTTAGGGGTGTCTCTTCCACTGAAAATAAAATTCTAGAAAAAACCTACATTATATAAAAAACATATAACTCTCTAATAAAGACATGCACATAACAGGAAATTGTATTAAAATTATAATACAGAAAACAATTCTATTTTCAAAATTTGATAGACAAAAACATGAAAGTAGTTATAAACACAATATGACAATATAATTTGTGACTTACAAAGTTGAGAGCAGACATACTGAAAAAAACTAAGCATCTGAATATCTTACCAATTCAAAATATATTGTAATTTTAAGAAGATTTTTGTAATCTTCATGATAACCACAAATATTAGAGAAATACAACATAGAAATTGAGAAAGAAATCAGACCATATCACCAGAGAAATCAGTGAGACAGCAAGAAAGATGAAAAAGGAACAAAATGGCTACAATAATAAAACAATGATTAATATAATAATAGTAAGTTCCATTTCAGAATACTTTAAAAATATTAATGGACTAACTTTCCCAATCAAAAGACATATTTCATGAAGAGATTCTAAAAATTGTATTAACAGCATCAACTATATTCTGTGTACAAGAGAATCACTGGATCCAATCACAAAGATAGACTAAAAGCAGGATGGAAAAAGATATTCCATGCAAATGTTAGCCAAATGAGAGCAGAAGTAGTCACTGTGACAAAAGACTTTAAGTCAATCATTATCATATTTTATAAAATTTAATTCAAAACTACAGGATAAAAAAGACATTAAATAATACAAAGGTTCATTCATTGGAAACCTATAAAAATTGTATATGTTGTTTGTGTGTGGATTCCTGTGTGTGTGCTTATACCTGTATCTACATCTACATCACACATCAGGGTTTCCAGTTATACATCTATATCATACATCAGGGTTTCCAGTTTATAAAGCAAACATTGATGACATTGAAGCAAGAAATACACAGTGAACAGAAGACTTGAATACACTATAAAAATCAAATTCAACATGCGTAGAGAACACCTCATCCAACAAAATACACAATGTTTTCAATATTTCAGAAAATATTCTTGATAGAAGACGTTAGGCCATGAAACAAGTCTTAACACCTTTTTTTAAATTGAAATATTACTGCTTATTCTTTATAACCAAAATTGAATAAAATAGAAAATGAAACATTCACAAATATACGGGAGTTAAACAATACACCCTCGAACATGCTTTTCTTCAAGGGTGGGAATACTTAATATTATGAAGATGTCCAGACTACATAAAGTGGTCTACAGATTCAATACAGTCCTTTCCAAATTCTCAGTTTATTTTTGCAGAAATAAAAAAGCAACCCCAGAATTATACAGACTACAAAGAGACCAAGAAGACTCAACAATCTTGAAATATCAAGAACAATATCGGGGGTGTCACACCTCCTGATTTTGGAATACATTGTGAAGCTACAGTAGCTAAAGGAATTTGGTGCTGGCATAAATGCACACAACAAGAACAATAAAACAATAGAAAACTTAGAAATACAGCTACACATGTGTGGTCAAATGAGTTGTTTGCACACCCATGCAGCATTATTGACAAAAGCTGATAGGCTAAAGCAGCTTAAACTTTCTTAAATGAATAAATAAAATTTGGAATATAAAAATAGAATATTGCTCAGCTTTGCAAAATCAGCATATGTAACATATAAAATCAAAATCTTAACATGCTAAATAAAGGCAGTCACAACAAGACAGGTTGTCTGAATACACTTATATGGGATATCTAGAAACAAAAAATAATACTATATTTGACGGGCTGGGCGCGGTGGCTCACGCCTGTAATCCCAGCACTTTGGGAGGCTGAGGCAGGCCAATCACCTGAGGTCAGGAGTTCAAGACCCAGGCCTGGCCAACATGGTGAAACCCTGTCTACTAAAAATTTAAAAATTAGCTGGGCATGGTGGTGCACGCCTGAAATCCCAGCTACTTGGGAGGCTATGGCAGGAGAATCGCTTGAACCTGGGAGGCAGAGGTTGCAGTGAGCCGAGATCATACCACTGCACTCCAGCCTGACAACAGAGCCAGACTCCGTCGAAAAAAAAAAAAAAAAAAAATCAGCCAAGAGGAGAAATACACAAGATGAACCATAAACAAAGTTGGTGTTATATTTATAGAGACAACCATGCACATACATATGTATAATTTAACAGTGATAGACAGCTGGTTAATTCATCTTTGAATTAAACCCCACCTTGATTTAAAGTATATATACAGAGTTGCAAATTGTCATTCAAAATTATAATACATAGGTAAAACAGAAACACAATAAACTGCCTATAAATGTATCCTTACTAAAAACACAGTAATTAGGAATTGCAAGACAAGATAAACATTTACCTATAAAATTCTGTATGCAACATTGATATATCATTATAACACCTTTTTCTAGGTAACTACCGAGTTCACCTGTGATTGTGCACCTATGGAGCGCACATACTTGGAATCATTGATGTCTACTGTATGGCAGTAAAATTTTACAGAAAATGCACTACAGACATTAAGAAAATGCTCTAGTAAAATTTTTTTAATGATTATGTAAAGACAGTAAAGATAATGTGTTACTATTAATATATTGATGCTATTTTCACAGAAAATAAAAAGGCTGCAATTCACTCTTTAGAAGCAAAGAAAAGCATTAGACTTTGAAATAAAGTAAAACCATGTATGTTGTAAAATATGAGTTATATACAATGCAAATATTTTGAAATAATTTTTTGTAATTTATCATTTAGATATAGGTTGAGAAAACAAAAATGTTAATGATTCCTATATGATTTCAGTTAACTGTAACGTACAAATGAACATTTTAATAAATAGGGAGTGCCTGTCTGATTTACTTCTTACATGGTGTGGAAATTATAGCATATTGTTCTGAATGAATCTAAAATAACAGACAAATTTGTAATACAGCAAAATACAAAGTGAAACCATATAAGGAGAGTGACATCAGCAAGGATGTTGGAATAAGGGGATCACTCTTGTTTATCTTCCCACAGCTACAATACTTTTGCAGCCATCCATGGACAAAAGTGCCTTTATGGGAGCTTTGGGATTAGAGAGGGCATTATGATACCCTGTGAAAAACAAAGACTGAGGAGGGCTGTTTTGGGAAGGCAGGCCCTCATTCAGGGGGCAAATCTGAGAACCCCTGATCTTGTCTACAGACTAGGAATTGACCCATCCTACTCAGTCACACTGAGAATCCTGAAGTGACTCTGTAACCATCTCCAATGCCTCCCAGTTATGGTCTGGAATTAGTCCTTCCCATACAGAGAACTGGGGAGAGACATTCATGATAATGGAGGCAGACCTACAGAATTTAACCTTTCACCTTTACTGTGGCCTCTGAAGCAGGTCTGTGACTCAGTTTCAGCCCTCTTCACCATAGTTTATAGACAGTTCTGCCCACCTAGAGACCCACAAAGGGAGAGAAAACCCTCTCAGGTACTCAGCAGAAGTCACACTTCATCCACACACCTACTATCAGGGCCGCCATATGCAAACCCAGCTTCAGAACCCTGGCCCTGGCATCTGCCCTACAGATCAAAGTTCTGAAAGCAGTTGAGTCTGCTCGAAATAAGAGGAGTCACAATGAAGCCACCTTGTGCCCAATTTTAATGCTTCTATTTTAACATACTAGTAGTCCTAAGTAGAAGAATTTGGGGAAAAATATTTTAAAGCCATCTAAATTGAAAAAATGTCACTTTTTGTAGATGACATGATCTTATATACAAAAACCATAAATAGTACACCAAAAACCTATTTAAACTAATAAATGCACTCAATGAATTTTCAGAATATAAAAACAGCATACAAATCTCAATTGTGTTTTTATACCCTAACAACAAACTATCCAATTAAAAGGAAGAAAATGATTTCATTTAAAATAAAATAAAAAACAATAAATTTCTTAGGAACAAATTTAACAACTAAGGTGAAAGATCTTTATGCTGAAAAATAAAATATTGATAAAGGAAACTGGAGAAGACAAAAAATGTAAAGCTATCATAGATTGGAGGAGTAAATATTGTTAAAATTCTACATTATCCAAAATGATCTATAGATTTAATAAACTCCCTATAAAAATTCCAATAACTTGTTTCACAGTAATAGAAAATACAAGCTTAAAATTTATGTGAAATTACAACAGACTTTGAATAGCTAAAGCAATCTTGAGGAAGAAGAAAGCTAAGGATATTATAGTTTCTGATCTTTTTTTTTTTTTTTTTTGAGATGGAGTCTCACTCTGTCACCCAGGTTGGAGTGCAATGGTACGATCTCAGCTCACTGCAACCTCTGCCTCCCAGGTTCAAGTGATTTTCCTACATCAGTCTCCTGAGTAGCTGGGATTACAGGTGCTCGCCACCATGCCCGGCTAATTTTTATATTTTTAGTAGAGACGAGATTTCACCATGTTGGTCAGGCTGGTCTCGAACTCCTGACCTCATGATCCACCCACCTCGGCCTCCCAAAGTACTGGGATTACAGGTGTGTGAGCCACCGCACCCGCCCCTATAGTTTCTGATTTTAAATTATATTCAATACTATAGTAATAAAAACAAGACAGCATGTGCATAAAAATGAACACGAAAACCTACAGAACAAAGTAGAGAGCCTAGAAAAAAAAAAACCTATGCCTATAAAATCAATTAATCTTGAACAAGGATATTGAAAATGCACAATGCAGTAAGTGAAATCCCTTTATTATTTGGAGCTAAGAAAATTGGGTATCCACAAGCAAAAGAATAAAATTAGATGATTTTTCTTACATCATATCCCAAAATTAACTCAAAATAAGGACAAATAAAACACATGAATTCTTAAAAATCCTAAAAGAAAACAAAATGTGGTCAACCTCCTTTATATTGGTCTTGACAGTATTTTTTTGGATCTGACACAAAAAGTGCGCCACAAAGGCAAATATAAAAAAGTTGGACTACATCAAACTAAAAAACTTATAAACAGAAAACAATAAGAAAACTTACAGGTTGGGAGAAAATATCTGCAAACCACTGTTAAGTGGTTAATATCCAAAATATGTAAGGAACTCATACAAATAAAAAACCAAAACAACAATAATAATGACAGTAATGATAACATGATTAAAAGACAGGTAAAGAAATATTTTTTTAGTGAAGACGTAAACTAAGAGTATTTGAAAAGCTGCTCAACATCTTCAATCATGAGGCAAATACAAATAGAAACAATGATGACATATCATTTCACACTTGTTAGGATGGCTAATATCAAAATTCAGAGACATGTATGTTATTCTGATGATGGATACCCTAAAAGCCCTGACTTCACCACCATGCAGTCTATCCATGTCACAGCCCTTGAACTGGGACACATTTACCTGAAAACCAGCCATTTCATCTTCTTTCTCTTTCTTCTCTGAGTTTTTGTCAGGTGAGATTCTCTGGACAAGTCATGGCTGTATGTTGATAATATGCCTTAAAAAGCATCAGTACAACCCCTTTACTTGCTACGACTACAGCTACAGGGAGAAGGAACTAGAAGTGCAAAAAAGTCCACTCTTCCCTGTCCTTTATCCCAGGAGAGAGTCAGGAACAATGAGTTCCTACATAAAGATCAAAATGTGTTTCTCATTTCCTGCTTTCAAGTGTCCTCTCCTATCAAAGACTCAAGCAACTTTTGCTGCAGCAACTGGACTATGGGCTGCACTAACCACCGTATCAAATCCAAGCAGAGCAGATCCTGTGACCTGGAGAAAGGAGCCGGCTGTCCTTCCCTGCTGTAACCTAGAGAAAGGAAGCTGGCTGTCCTTCCCTGGCACAGCTGCACGCAAGGAATTTTCCACCACGCTCACCGGGCAGTAAGTTGAAACATAAAAAGATTAACAAGTTGGCTTATTTTTACTTCTACTCAGAGTGCAGAGTCATCGTAATTTATTGTTTTCTATGTCTCAAATACTCTGCTTTATTTTATTTTATTTTATTTTATTTTTGAGATGGAGTCTCGTTCTGTTGCCAGGCTGGAGTGCAATGGTGCAATCTCAGCTCACTGCAGCCTCCGCCTCCCGGGTTCAAGCAATTCTGCCTCAGCCTCCCGAGTAGCTGGGACTACAGGCGCACACCAGCACGTCCAGCTAATTTTGGCATTTTTAGTAGAGATGGGGTTTCAACATGTTGGCCAGGATGGTCTCGATCTCTTGATCTCGTAATCCGCCGCCTTGGCCTCCCAAAGTGCTGGGATTACAGGCCTGAGCACTGCGCCCAACCTCTGTTTTATTTTTTAGTATGTTATCAAATGAAACATTAGTCCAATTATTAAAATAAATGCTTTAGTTGTCTGAGCAACTGTATTTTGTATCTGTCAAATCCACAAGCCTAACAATTTTACCTTTCTGAAATATCTACCACGTGTTCAAAGTCAGCACGCTACTCCTAGTTCTGCAAGGCACTGAAAGTACATAGAAAGAAAGAGGGGGGAAGCACATTTAAGAAACAGGTTTTCTGCAGGATCACAAGGGTATAACAATTGCCTATAACGGTGTGGCTACTTTCTCCGCATTCAGTCCCCGTGACTAAATAACTACTGCATTTGTGGAAGTCTCTAGGCTGGGTGCTGGACCCTAATTAATGCATTTGAAATCCAGGCCTACACTGTCCCTGGGCTCAGCGACTAACCTTAGTAGAAGCACACATTTCTCAATATGCACATAAGGCAAATAGGTGCTCACGGCAGCCAAACAGAATGCTTTGAAAAGCATTTTCCCAATGAGCCCCCCGCCAGCCCAAACCCCCGCAAACTCCGGAATTAGGAGACATAACAGGTACTTCCACCTCAGAAGCCAAAGCCCTCTGCGACTCCTGCCAAGAAGGGCAGGTTGCCATGCGTGGGTCGGCTGGGCGCGTCCTGGGGCTGGTCTGCCTGACCCGGACAAAACCAGGCGGCGAGCACGCGGCGCTGCATGCGGAAAACCGGAGCTGCGCCTCCTGCCGCCCCTCAGTCGCTAGGCAGGAACCCCAGGAGAGGCTACGGTCCCCTGACCTCCACAGAGGCTCGCCAGGGCCGGCGCGCAGGGGCAGGTGGGCGCGGGGGCTGCCCTGCGGCGCCGCAGCCTGGGCCTCCCCTGGCACCCGTGGTCGGCCATCCGCCGCGTCCGCAGCAGCGCGCTGAGCCTCTCCAGTTCGCGGGCCCTCCCCGGCTCGCTCCCGGCTTTCGCAGACCTCCCCCGCTCCTGCCCTGAGTCCGAGCAGAGCGCAACGCCAGCCGGCGCCTTCCTCCTGGGCTGGGAGCGAGTGGTGCAGCGGCGGCTCGAAGTCCCCCGGCCTCAAGCAGCCCCCGCGACTAGCGCGACACCCTCGCGGGATCCGAGTCCACCCTGCCACCAGCGCCGGGACGCCGCGTGCCTCAGAGCCCAAGGGCTGACCCGGGCCTTCCAGGTGGTCCATCTCGCTCCTACGGCTCCCGACGGTGGCGCTGGGTGTCCCCCATCCCGCAATTCCTACCGGCTGACCCATGTGCGCTGCGCCCAGGTACCCCGCCGGGCAGGGCTGAGCAGCCCGGACCCCGCGCTCTCCTGCGCCCAGATTCAGCGCTGCAGTCGCCAGGGAAAGTTTGCGCTCCGGACTGGCCGCGGCGCCCCGCCTGCTCTGCACCTCTCCTGGCCCACCACGCAGCCCGCGATTCGGGATCCCAGAGGAGAGGGGTGCGGGCTGAGCCGGGGCCACGAGTCCTCTCCCGCGCTCCCGCCCTTTTACCTCACTGTCCCGCCGGGCGCACGCAGAGCTCACCTTGCGTGCCGGCCGGTGGAGGCGAGCCATAGGTGACGGTGCATCCTCCTTCTCCGCCTGCTCTCGCCCGGCTGGCAGGGGCTGGAGGCTGCCAGCGCCAACCTTCCCGGCGCTCCGGGGCGGAGCAGCTCCTGCGCCCTGCGCTACCGCAGCGGCCCTTCAGTCAGCTCCGCGCCGTCCCCCGCAGAGCCCCCGGCGCACCAGCGCCTGCTTTTCCTTCCCCGAGCGCCTCAAGCAGTCTCTGGGCCGCAGGAACAGCCCTCTGAAGAGGCGCTTGGGTAGAGGCCACCAGACACTCAGCAAACGCGCCCTCGGCCCCGCTCGGCTGAGCGGGAGGGCGCAGGGCCCGCGGCTGGACCTGCAAGGGGAGTTCCGGTTCTGCTGAAGTTTCTTTAGGGCCTTCAGCAGCGTCTTCGGCGCCTCCTGTAGTCGCCGCTGTCCTCTTGTAGTGCAGGGATGGGAGGGCAGGGTCAGGAGCCCGGCAACAGAGGCCAGTTTCAAGAGCTTTGCTCCCCTAGGGCCGGCCCCCTCTCCCTGCCCAGGCCTGGGTCCCTCCCGGGTGCTCTGAGGCACCCCCGGACATGCGCATGTCTTAGTCGCTCCTGAAAGAAATTGGCTTGTTGTGGGCACTCTTTTCATCTCATTCATAGACAGGAGTGCATTGCTGCCGGACGGAAAGCCAGGGTCACATGGGACTCCATTAGAATGAAACCCTTACCTAATGCAGTATATATTTGGGGGTTTTCTGAAGTTCCATTTCTTAGCAAGAAGCCTCGGTGACAACGGGAAAGGGCCAGGGGCCAGGGGCCGCAGGTCCGAGAGCAGGTCTGGGGTGGCGCATCTGGGGTGGCAGGGCGGGATTTCCCTAGCAGGGCTTCCACGCCACGTTGGGCACTGCCTCATTAGCCACGCACATGGGGTCTTACTATGGTCATTACATAGGTGTCTTGTCCGTCCGAGTGATGCAGTTCCTGGGAGGTGAGGGTGGCGTTAATGACAGCTGGGTGGCAGCAGGGCCCCTTCAAACAACACAAGCAAGATGGGGCCAAAGCAGCACAGCCCATCGTCTCGGGGTTTCGGGGTCTTGCTTCCTCAGGAGGTGGGGGCCTCTCGACTGTAACACCCAGTGGAAAACGTTCAAGACTTACAGGAAAGCCACCAGAACATGATGGGGAGGTTTATTTACACCACTGTCCCCTTCCTTTTGTGAAACTGCATTGTTTATATTCTCTTTTAACAGAGTCATGGTAAGAAAAGGCAAATTCTTAACTCTCCTCCAGGAAAGATCTTTGACCTTCCAGTGTAGGAAGCCTCTCAGTTTTCCAGTTACACCTAATACAGTGTATTCCAAATCTAAGTTACCCACTAGTACTTCGGCACATTCCAGAAATTCTGAAATTTTCTGAAAAGGAAACTGGTAAGTCTATTCCAGGAGCGGGACATAAGTGTATAAATGTGCAAATATACAGGAAGCATTACTCTGAATACGCGTTTAGCCACATTATTAAATAACTGTTTCCAGGGGTTCTTCACAATATATGAATAAGTTGCTCATTTGAAAGACTTTTTAAATTCTAAAATGGATCATTGAACACGTGCATTTCTTCATTTTCTAATCTCTCAAAAGATGTATCACTAAGGTGAAATTCCTTGGTAGTCATTAAATTTTAAAAAGTTAACAACATGGTTTTATGATCAGCCTACTATAATTTTCACCTATTAGGTGGTGGAATTCTAGGCTTAGAATTACCAGCGACAGCTGCTCGCCTCTCAGGATTAAACAGCATAATGCAAATCAAAGAGTTTGAAGAATTGGTAAAACTTCACAGCTTGTCACACAAAGTCATTCAGTGTGTGTTTGCAAAGAAAAAAAATGTAGACAAATGGGATGACTTTTGTCTTAGTGAGGGTTATGGACATTCATTCTTAATAATGAAAGAAACGTCGACTGTGAGTATGTTCTTTTGGTGGATTATGTTTAAAACTTCCATGTTTTTTGGTACACTTTCTATCAGTTTTATGTCAACACAACACATATCATCTTGGTAAGAATTTCATTTTCAGTGTCAGAGCCTAAAATAGCTGGAGGTGGAGAAGCATGAGTGGAACATGTGCCAGAGAGCGCCCACCCTGTCCCCCAGTCAGGGGCAGGAACTGAGATGGGTGGGTGTGTTTGCATGGGTGGGTGTGGCAGAGGTGGCTGAAACGTGAATGCAGTGTCATCCTATAAGTGAGACAATGTGTTATTCGTCTTTCTGTGCTTGGCTTATTTCACCAAGCATGTTCTCCAAGTCCATCCATGCTGTCAAAAATGGCAGGATTTTTTTATTCATTAATGCTAAATAATATCCCACTGTGTGTGTGTGTGTGTGTGTGTGTGTGTATTTTTTTTCATTTCTTTATCCATTTATCCATTGACAGACATTTAGGTTGTTTCTATTACTTGGCTATTGTTAAAAATGCCCAAATGGACATAACAGTGCAGGTATGTTTTCCAGATATTGATTTTATTTCCTTTGGCTATATCCCCAAAGAAATGGGATTGCTGGGTATAGAGTGGTTGCCAGGGGCTGGGGGAAGGAGAGATGGGCAGATGTTGGTCAAAGGGTATAAAATTTCAGTTATGCAAGATGAATAAGTTCTGGAGATCCACTGTTCAACATTGTGAATATAGCTAACAACACTGCGATGTATACTTGACATTTGCTGAGGAGGTAGATCTTATTGTTCTCACCACACACATGAAAGAGGGCAGCTCTGCGAGGTGATGGGAATGTGAATGAGTTTGATTTTGATGGCAAAGTATACATATATTAGTCATCAAACTGAACACCTTAGAAACCAGATTTTACATCAATGAATGGTTGAATGAATAGATCTGCACTTCTGGATTTCTTTAAAAACGGGAAGACACTCCATAGCTTTAGCAACGCTGGGCACCCACCCATTCCCACCCTCCTGCACCGCCTGCATTCCACAGATACCTGACATGGGTCCTTAGAGGAACGTGATCTATCCTTTTTCACACTTTGCCTCCTTTGTGTAATTAGGAAAATCGAGGCAAATGGGGCTTTTTAAAGGATTTTAATTTTTTTCTAATTTCATTGTATCTATTTTGTCTTCACTAGTGGCTTATTTACTGTATCTGTATTTTACCTTATTTTATTTTGTGATGGCTCTAGGGTTACAGCCAGCATCTTTAACTTAGTATAGCCTACCTTTATTTTGTTTATTTATTTATTTATTTATTTTTGAGAAAGAGTCTTGCTCTGTCACCCAGGCTGGAGTGCAGTGGTGCGATCTCGGCTCACTGCAAGCTCCGCCTGCTGAGTTCAAGCCATTCTCCCCCTCAGCCTCCCCAGTGGCTGGGACTACAGGCACTCACCACCATGCCCAGCTAATTTATTTTATTTTATTTTATTTTATTTTTATTTTTATTTTTATTTTTAGTAGAGTTGGGTTTCACCGTGTTAGCCAGGACGGTCTCGATCTCCTGACCTCATGATCCGCCCGCCTCAGCCTCCCAAATTGCTGGGATTACAGGCACTAGCCACTGCACCTGGCTGAGGACATGTCTTTGAAAAGGTAGCATAACTCCTATTTCTAGCTGCTCTTGCAACTAAAAGTGGCTGTGTACAGAATAACTCTATTCCTCTATATCCAGTTTGGACAAACCAACTTTCCATTGATTTAAGCACACTTTCAGAATAAAGCGTAATTTCTTATCTCAGGAATTCCAAAGTCTAATGGAAGAAGCAAGCTTATACTGAATAATTTAGCAAAGCAGATTGTGCTTGGCAATAATAAAGTAATTCAATATCTGAAACATAAGAAAAGAAGGAAATATCTGTTTCATAGTTGTAATTAATTAGAACTTTACCATGCAGAATAGGTAGAGAGGCATTCCTCAAAAGATTAAGAGAGGTATAAAGTAAATGTAAATGTCAACCATAGGGGTTTTCTTAGGCAGAGAATCATGCTTTAGGGTAAATGAAGGTGATGCTGGTATTCAGGTTCCTTTGGAGAAGGCAACAATAAAAGTAGAGTTATCATTTATGAGATCCAAGAAGCCCAAGAAAAGATAATAAGAGCCCAAGCCACAGCAGGCTCAGCCTTTTTTTCCTAAATAAAAAGGAACGAATAGCTAAATGTGACAAAAGTCAAGGTATCTTTTAAGAAAGTTACACTTCCTCTGAACCACAACAGAAATCAAAGATAGTCACCCTACAGCACTCCTTGCCTCTCTTCCAAGGATACAGCTATGTATTGTTTTTTAAAAAAGGTAAAGGTAAAGAGACATGGTCACTTGACCATGTCTCTATCCAAGGTGAATTTCTCCAAAAGCACAACTTTGGGACACTTGTATGAGATATAGTTTAAACCCCACTGAATTTGATTTCTCACCCTCCCAGACACTTACCTTTATTATTTTCTCATATTTGTTTGCTTTTGTTTCCTTAATATAGTCTAGGAAATGTATCTGTGGGCTGTCCTACAGGAGAAGTTACAATGAATGGAAAAATGTGAAGAACCTTCTATTCTCCCAAGAGTATATGGCAAAGAGGGTGCAATTGCACCCAAAATATCAGTGTGGAAGGGTCACATAACTGATACT
The DNA here is from genome assembly GCF_000001405.40 of Homo sapiens. NCBI lineage: Eukaryota > Metazoa > Chordata > Mammalia > Primates > Hominidae > Homo > Homo sapiens. Next base: position 174,369 of record NT_187382.1, on the reverse strand, counting down.
ATAAAGTAACACATTGTCTTACAGAATTCTCATTCTTAGGCTAAAATATTATCTTCTTCATCAAACTTACTTGACTGCATGTTTGATGTTGTTTGAGTAAAATATAATACTCTTTTATTTCCCAAATGCACACACACACACACACACACACACACACACACATATTATATTATGTTTTGGGAAATATATGTGCTATAGTATCTATATTTATTCACTTCTTAAATTTGAACTTAATTAAAATGACAAAATTAATTTGCTGAAAGGAGTTGGTAAAATGATCAGCTGTATTCAGTCACATAACTATTGTTTAGTCTTAGTAATGAAAATAGAAAAAAAAAAACCAGCCAGGTGCAGTGGCTCACGCCTGTAATCCCAGCACTCTGGGAGGCCAAGGTGGGTGGATCGCCTGAGGTCGGGAGTTCGAGACCAGCCTGGCCAACATGGTGAAACCTCATCTCTACCAACAATACAAAAATTAGCTGGGCGTGGTGGCACGCACCTGTAACCAGCTACTTGAGAAGCTCAGGTAAGAGAATCTCTTGAACCTGGGAGGCGGTGCTTGCAGTAAGCCGAGATTGTGCTACTGCACTCCAGCCTGGGTGACAGAGTGAGACGCCACCTCAGTCAAAAAAAAAAAAGAAAAATGAATATAGAAAAAAACGACAGACGCTAAAAGCTAAGAAAATAGTGTGTTCATTTTGGAATCTAATTCAAAATTCATTATAATGAATTTTAACGGGCCACCAAAGGTATGTGTTGAAGTTCACTGAATATTATTCAATGTTTGAGAATTACTGACAGCACATATATTTCATTTGTAGCAATGTTTGATTTGTTTTGCATCCATATATTTGCATTTATTTAAAACAAAAAACATCAAAGTATATTTCATCTGTTATTTGGAAAAAACATTGAGTAACTAATTGTCCAAATATAGCTATTTTCTAATTTTTAATTAAAAATGCTTCCTGTTTAAAAAAATAACTTATTTCAAAATAACTGACATTTAATGTATTTACATTTTTTAAAGTGTTCACGCACATCTATTTAATTTCTAGATGTCTTGAAGGAATCGTCACTGTATCTGGAAGCCAGATGCCAAAGATGTTCAGTTATTATCAATGCATCTATGCATAAAGGATTGAAAATGATTCTTCATTCCATAATTTATCTAAATGTTCATTCCTTTGGAAAACTGTTTTCCACCAATAGTGACAAGACTTGGAACAAAATAAAATAGCAATATCATATGCATTTTCTATTTCTGCACTTTTCCACTTCTGGAAATAGTCATAGAATCATCTTGTGACAGATTAATATCATCCATGATCCTAAGCCACTAAGAATAAGTGTTAGATTCTTTGGGTTAAATTGCCATAAGGACTAAATTTATTTTTTTAACCAATTCCCTAAAGAATCAACTGATATTTCTGACATAGTTTTACAGCATATGTATCACCTCTCCATCCATTTTGCCTTAATTCTATTTCTTTTTATCCTTCACTGGTGAGGATGAGAAAACCTGGATGCATATGGGTATGGTTGATTTGAAAAGTACTTTTTAAACATTTGGAAGTTTTTCAAAACCAAAAACATATTTGCCAAGTGATCTTTTTCCCCTATATTTTAAATCCATGTGCAACTTAAAAGAAACTTAGACCATATGCTAGTTCAGATTCACTTATATTAAAATCATGAAAATTTTATTTAATAGCTCTTTGACACACAGGGAGTGTTTAAATTAAGCTTCTCTAAATTTTACATTTCTCAAAATACACTCTCTTTCCTATCTACCCTCAACTACTCCTCACTACTCTCCAAGAAAATATCAGGTTTAATTCAGGAGATGTAAGTTGGATGTTGTCAGTCCATCAACAATGATTAAGTAATTTAAAAAGCATTCTTTTCTTCACTTCTTCCCTAGATTTTTTGTTTCTTTGTTCGTTTAAATATCTCTGTGCAAGTTCTGAACAGTTTTATTTATATCAGGATCAATAATCTGAGGAGTGAAATAAATTGTTGCATTTGTTGCAATAAATGAGTTTATGCTTCCTTTACAGAACATTAAGGACATGAACTTTTAAGAACATTTTAATGTTTCACTATAAATGATACTTGAGCCTTGCATTAGAATACATAAGGTAAACTTATATAAAGAAAAAATAAAAATCTTCTCCTTCTCATCTGCATTTGCAATCCCACATGCACTGAAGTAATCAATGTTAATGGTTTTCTGTCCATTCGGCCACACCTCTAATGGATGGAATTTATGTAGTGTAATTCTTTGTCAGGTACAACTACACATGAGTAAAACTAGGTGTGATTTAGAAGTCAAGATTAGGATTTTTATCTAGTAGTGAAATGGGAAGGGAAAAGCAAAAGTAAAATATACATCAACTAATGGCAGAATGGTGTATAGAAGGGAGTCATCTGTATATATGACATCTGATGGCCCCGCCACTCAGCTAACCCATCCACACATGAAATAATAAGTAGACAAGTGCATTGAAAATTGTAAGTGTGACAGAAAGGTCACCACTTGATTGCTACTATTATATCGTTTTATTATTTTGTTCTCCCAACAATGTATAGCTCAAATTTATACTACAGGCTGTTCATATCCCTTAACAAAATATCCATTAATTTATGAATTTGATAAAATTCTAACTTACTGCAGTGCCCTACAAATAATAGTTTGGCCCATCTGTGGTGATGACTGTTCTGGAAGATCTTTCTGATGTTGAATAACTAATATTGTGTTTCAATGTTACTATTAGGTTGGTGCAAAAATAATTGCGATTTTTGCCATTAATCACAACTACATTTGCGCAAACCTAATAGTAATTTAACATTCTGTATCTAACATTTGTGGACACTGATCGAATATGCGATATTCTGGGGAGAAGTTGGTGGAAGAGATGTGTGTTGTTTTGTGAAAGATAGTATTCTGAGGGAAGGCAGAAAAGGGATATACATATAAGAAAATAGTGGATCTTGATCAGATGCACACTTGTTCCTATTTACAAGAAGTCTACTCTGTGTTACTGAACAAATCAACTTACATGAAGTCAACTAATTCCAAAGAATTTACCGTCTAGAGAAATTCACATTTGTAATAATAAATACTTTTCTTAATGACAGAAATTTTATAATATGTCTTTTTTACTTTATAGCTATAACCGTAGAGTTATAAAATCTAAATACAGACAAGCCTACCCAGTGTTTGATTATATTCAATGATGTTTAAAAGTAATGGCCTCTCTTTTGTTCTTACTGGGAAAATTATCATTAGCACAGTGCTTCATGCAGGCTCTTATTACTTCTATCTCCCATTGTTATGATTGGCAAAGCACAAAGCCATACTCAAATTGGAATGCTTGGGCACATTGCAGTATTTATCACAGGGTGGACTGGATACTGAGTTTCTTAATTTATAAATATTTCTTTCCAATGCAAAATTCATGAAGGCTTAATGTTGGGAAATGTCTGAATGGCTATAAATTCCCTTCCTAATTCCCTCCCCTCAATGCATACCCATTTTTTTTTGGCTCATTCTTAGAACTGTAGCTGTTCTTGAATCTTTGATGAGTTGAAGCTAATCCACATTCGGATTTTACAATCTCATATAATTGCCAAAATTCTACCCTTCAAAACACTTGTTTCTTTCTTTTTTTTCTCTTACATTTCCTCAAAGAAAATTAGTGAAAAAACAATTTTTTATTTGGTCTGAAACTTTATGGTGGAAATCTGAGGACAGGAAGAAATTTAGGGACTTGTTCATGCACTTTTGATTTGGCGAATGCCTGGAATATATTTTTTTCTCTCTGCACAATGCAAAGTAGTTGCACTCACAAAGTATCAATTAGAAAAAGAAATTCTTTCCACATTTCATCAGAGTTTTAAGTGGTTACACCACAATAATCCCCAGCTATTTGGGAAATGGTAAAAAAAAAAAAAACAACTTTGAAGATCAAGCCATCATTATTATTTTCACTAAAACCTAAAAATTCAGCCACAATATGTCAAACCAGTTGGGACAGGACTTCCTTCCACTAATTTAGTTTTTACTGCTGGATACCTGATGGGCTACTTACTGTATCAGGTGTCTCATAGGGCAAATTGTACCTGGAGATAAAAAAAAGAAGAAAAAAACAGGCTCCACCCCCTAGCAGCAGAATACAGCAGAACATTTAGGTACCCACAGAACATAAACCAAAATGGACTGTATCCTGGATTTTAACAAACATTAAGAATTTTTTAAAAACTGAAATCCTGTAGAATGTATCCTCCAGCCAAAATGGCATCAAATTAAAAATAAAAAAGTAAAATAACAGCAGAATCTTAAATACTTGAAAAATAAACAGCATACTTTTTTAGTTCTTTTTTTTACATTTTTATTTATTTTAAGTTCTGGGGTAGGTGTGAAGGATGTGCAGGTTTGTTACATAGGTAAATTTGTGCCATGGTGGTTTTCCCTACCTATCAACCCATCACCTCGGTTTAAGCCCAGCATGCATTAGAGATTTTTCCCAATGCTCTCCCTCTCCCTCCCCCATCCACAGGCCCCAGTGTGTGTTGCTTACTTCCCTGTGTCCATGTGTTCTCATTGTTCAGCTCCTACTTATAAGTGAGAACATTAGATGTTTGGCTTTCTGCTTCTGCATTAGTTTCCTGAGGATAATGGCTTCCTGTTCCATCCATGTCCCTGCAATGGACATGATCTCCTTCATTTTTATGGCTGCATAGTATTCCATGTTGTATGGGTACTGCATTTTCTTCATCCAGTCTATTACCAATGGGCATTTAGGTTGATTCCATGTCTTTGCTATTGTGAATAGTGCTAAACAGCAAGCACACTTCTAAGGAGAACGTCTCAAGGGAAACAATTAAATATATTAAACTGAATAAAAATAAAAATACAACATATCAAACTTGATTTAACACAGTTGACGTCAGTGTTGAGAGGAAAATGTATTTCACTAAATATATATAATAGAAAAGTAGAAATCTCTCAAATAAAAATTCAAGCTATCACATCAAGAAAGTAGAAAATAGTAGCAAAATAAAATCAAAACAAATATAAGAAAGAATATAATAAGGATAAGAGCAGAAATAAATGAAACAGCCAAAAGAAAACAACAAAGAAAAGCAAAGAAATAAAGCTGGTTCTTTGAAAATATCTATAAAATTGACAAACCTTAACTAATAATGATAAAGAAAAAAGGGATGTCATAAATTACCAATTTCATGAATGAAATGGGCTAACATTAGCAGTAGAACTCAGCAATGTACACAAAGAATTACACAGCATGTCCCAGTGACGTTTACTCCAGTGACTGCACACCTAGACATTCATCCCACTGAAATAAAAACTTTTTTTTTGCACTTGCAATTGGCTTCCCCTCTGCTTTTGTTGGCAGGAGCAGGTCGGTGTCCCAGGCTTAGAATCCATTTTTCTCTCTCTCCGTCTGTCTCTCTGTCTCCGTCTCTGTCTTTGTCTCTGTCTCTCTCTCTCTCTCTTTCTTTTTTTGACAGAGTCTTGCTTTGTCACCCAGGTTGCAGTGATGCGATCTTGGGCTCACTGCAAGCTCCGCCTCCCAGGTTCACGCCATTCTCCTGCCTCCCGAGTAGCTGGGACTACAGGCGCCCACCACCATGCCCGCTAGTATTTTGTATTTTTAGTAGAGATGAGGTTTCACCGTGTTAGCCAGGATGGTCTTTATCTCCTGACCTTATGATCCGCCCGCCTCAGCCTCCCAAAGTGCTGGGATTACACGCGTGAGCCACAGTGCCCGGCCAGAATGCATTTTTCCTCCCACACCAAAGCACCTGCAGTATGGGTGAAGCAGCCTGGAGCCTGGCTGCATAAGCCTGCACAGCAGGAGGGTCCCAGCAGGAGGGTAGAGGTGCCACTGCCTGGGTCCAGCTCACAGGCTGCCAGGGAGGCTCCGATCTGGCTCCCTGGTGCTGGCAGTGTCCTGTTCCCAGGATCTGCACGTGGGGGTGCCTTCCTGCATCTCCCCATCAGTGGTAGGTGCTCCTCCCAGCCCCCTCTTGCAGGCCTGGAGACAGCGGCCTGCACCTCAACCCTACTGCATGCCAGTGAAGCGAAGCACCCCGGGCCAGAAGCCCCACAGCTGTTGGCCCTGGTTTGGACACCAGGCAGGGGGCACCACAGCAGGAGCTAGCAGCCCAGCCCCGATTCTGTGGCCCCGAGTGCCCCGTTGCTGATGGCCCTGTGTTCTGGGTGCGGACCAAGGAGGAGCAGGTGTGGAAGGCGCCTCAGGCAGGCCCTGGGCTCCGTGGGCGTCTTGTGCTCGGAGATTTTGAGGCCATTTGCATCCAGCTCCGCCAACCAGAGCTCTAAGCTGCAGCGGCGGCCACCCGCAACAGCGCCACCACTAGTGTCTTGGGGGCTTTCCTCAGAGGAGGCTGTCAGCATCCTCGAGTTCCAGGCGCTCTAGCCCCAGTCCTGCTTCAAGAGGCTTTTTCCCACCACAGGCTTCTCTCCTCAGTGGCCAGAAAGCTGGGCCAACTCCCATGAACTTTGCCAGTAACGCAAGGCTGTCACTGACATTTGTGGCGCCAAGACTTGCGCACGCGGATTGCACACATCGGCCACTTCCTGGACCACGTGCAATGACACGCGCACGCCTCACGCACACGCCGCATAACGTCTGAGGCGCGCGCCCCGCACGCGCGCCCCGCACGCGCATAACGGCTTGGCTTACCTGTAACGGGTACGCTTCGCTTGGCGTTCCTCCCTTGGCCTTGCGTTCCTAGCTTGGCTTGGCTGTTAGTAGCTTTGCCTGGTGTTTCTTGCTTGGATTGGCGTTTCCTCCCTCGCATTCCTTTGCTGGACTTGACCTTTTCTCTGCTGGGTTTGGCATTCCCTTGACTGGGCTGGGTGTTTCCTTGGGAGGGGGGGCTTGGCCTTTCCTGGGGTGGGCGTGGGGTCCCCCTGGTGGGCGTGGGCTTTCCCCGGGTGGGTGTGGGTTTTCCCTGGGTGGGGTGGGCTGGGCTCCCTTGCTGGGCTTGGCAAGTTTTGGCTGGGATTGACCTTTCTCTTCAAACAGATTGGAAACCCAGGGTTTCCTGCTAGTTGGTGAAACTGGTTGGTAGACGCGATCTGTTCGCTACTACCGGCCTCCCCTGGCTGTTAAAAGCAGATGGTGGCTGAGGTTTGTTCAATGCCCGCTGCCTCTGCTGTGAAGAAGCCATTTGATCTCAGAAGCAAGATGGGCAAGTGGTGCCACCACCGCTTCCCCTGCTGCAGGGGGAGCGGCAAGAGCAACATGGGCACTTCTGGAGACCACGACGACTCCTTTATGAAGACGCTCAGGAGCAAGATGGGCAAGTGTTGCCATCACTGCTTCCCCTGCTGCAGGGGGAGCGGCACGAGCAATGTGGGCACTTCTGGAGACCATGACAACTCCTTTATGAAGACACTCAGGAGCAAGATGGGCAAGTGGTGCTGTCACTGCTTCCCCTGCTGCAGGGGGAGCGGCAAGAGCAACGTGGGCACTTGGGGAGACTACGACGACAGCGCCTTCATGGAGCCGAGGTACCACGTCCGTCGAGAAGATCTGGACAAGCTCCACAGAGCTGCCTGGTGGGGTAAAGTCCCCAGAAAGGATCTCATCGTCATGCTCAGGGACACTGACATGAACAAGAGGGACAAGCAAAAGAGGTAACCGGGCCTGGGATGGGAAGAGGCGGGACATGGGGGGATGATGGGGACATACCCTCCTGGCACAGGGAGGGAGGAGCCAGGCTTTCTCTTCCTCCGCAGGCCCCACACCACCCTGGGTGTGGAAACCTCAGAGATGTCAGGGCCCAGGTCCCTTTATAAACAGCAACACAAAAACAAAACTTTAGCTGATTTCCAATCCAATTATAATTTCCCTTATAGAACACTAATAGACGGTTTTAAAGTGATTTAACTCGCAAAATTAAGTCGATGCAGCAGATTATTTTTAATGTACACATTTTAAAACAATGTTCTATACACTATAGAAAGGTGTATATTGAGAACTAAGTCCCATAATATATCAACTTCTGGGCTAAATATTTTTCAAATAAAATCCAATATGGATTTTATATCGATGTGTACCCTATGTAAACACGTTCTTTACTGAGTAACCTTAAAAGGAAACTGAAATGGGAAGTATGGTTCATATCTTTGAATAGGAAGGTTCGTTTTTCTTAAGATGTGAGCTTTTTCTGTGTTTATCACTTTTACATAAGCCAAATAAAAATAGCAAAGTCTTAGTGTCTTTAAATTGCACATGATGTATTTTATCATTGTGATAAATTGATTTTTTGTAACAGAATGGAAAAAGACTTGCTTTTCCAGATATCAAAATGTGCGTGTGTTATTTCCACAAATTGTTTACTAACAGCTGAAAAGACATAAGTGAACAGAACAGAATAGGAAATCCAGAAATACCCAAATATATGTAAGAATTTAGCACTTGATAATGGTGATGTTTCATATTGGTAAAACAAGGTGAATTATTCATAAATTAAATGCATGCTGTTTGGAGAAAACTACCTAGATTTTTATGTCACAAAAATAAGTTCCTGGAGTATAGATTAAAAATTTTAAAGATACAAAAGGAGAAAAGTACCAGAAGAAAACACAAATGCCTATTTATATGTGCAAATATTTATTTATTTTTCTGAGACAGACTCTCACTCCATAGCCCAGGCTGGAGTGCAGTGGTGCAATATCAGCTCACTACAACCTCTGGTTCCTGGTTCAAGTAATTCTTTGCCTCAGCCTACCAAGTAGCTGGGATTACAGGCACCCACCACCATGCCTGGCTAATTTTTTGTGTTCTTAATCAAGACGGGATTTCACCATCTTTGCCAGGCTGGTCTTGAACTCCTGTCCTTGTGATCCACCCACCTCAGCCTCCCAAAGTGCTGAGATTACAGTCATGAGCCACTGAAACCGGCATATATATGCAGATATAATAAAATAAGCTCAATTTAAAATTGGGCAAGGTACTTTTTTGCATGTCTACCAGTGACCTGTGTACATAGGAAAACATAGCATTCCTGCTAAGAGAAGGAATTTAAGTTAGAAGAGGAATGAAAGACTATTTTCTGTTTAAGTTAGAAGAGGAATGAAAGGCCAGCCATGGTGGCTCATGCCTGTAATCCCAGCACTTTGGGAGGCCAAGGCAGGTGGATCACGAGGTCAGGAGTTTGATACTAGCCTGGCCAGCATGGTGAAACCCGTTTCTACTAAAAATACAAAGAATTAGCTGGGCATGGTGGCATGCACCTGTAATCCTAGCTACTCAGGAGGCTGAGGCAGGAGAATTGCTTGAACCAGGGAGACGGAGGTTGCAGTGAGCTGAGATTGCACCACTACACTCCAGCCTGGGTGATGGAGTGAGACTCCATCTCAAAAAAATAAATAAATAAATATAAAGGAATGAAATACTGTTTTGTGTCCACAAAGTTTGTGAGGGTGAAGAACAGTGGTACTTATATACCTGCTGAAAGTTTAAGTTGCTGCGGCTTTTCAAATAGACACTTTGATGGTAAGAACCACATTTTTAAAATGTGTATGCCTTTTACCCATCTGTTCCATTATACTGAAATATCTATATGAAACAGACACAGCTGTTTTTCTTAGTATTGCTTAAAATAGCCATGTATTTAGAAGAACTCATATAAAGATTTTATGAACAAATTTCAGTGCATCCATAGGATGGAATAATATGTAACCATTGAGGGTGTCAGTAGATACAGAGATATGTCGGCATGCAGAGATGTACTTTGCTGTATCAAGTGAGAAAAAATCAGTTTGTTATACATATACACAAATAGAATCTGCTCTTGTGTTAGCTGGAAATATGTGGAAAATATAATCAAACTTATTTCTGGGGATTTGTAAGTGAAGTTTTTCCCTTTCTCTTATCTGTGATTTCTGCAATGAACATCTGCAAAGTTTTAGTTAAGTTTCATTAGTAATGAAATAATCCTTGGGAAGAGAAGGAATATGCTACTTGCATAGATACAAATAATTTCTTACATTCTATTATTTATTTTTATACCTGTGGATGGCTATCTTCTGTGAACTTTTACCCTCTTCAGAAGTAGAGGGCTTCTGTTTACCTCTTCTGGTAGATTTTATTGTGTATACATCTTATTATATATAGATTGATGTGTAAATAGTATGGATTAATTATTTTAGTTTAGTTATATATTTATGAAAACTAAAATAGCAAATATAAATGATCGTTACTATCGCAAATGTATTGCTCTACTCAACAGGAGTTTTCTTTAAAAAATATTGAACTTCCAACCTATGTTTATCCATTCTTTCAATCCGTTTAGTCATCAAACATAAGCCAGACACCTATTATATGGCAGGCATATTCTGCTATCTCTCAGGATCCTTCCACCTTTGAAAACTTCATGTTTACCTGCTGCACCTGAGCAAGCTGAGAGAATCAAAATTGGGGCATTAGGACTTAATCTCAATTGAAGCTTTTCCTCCCTCCTTTCAAACAAAAGCACTTCTGAAGGTGGAAAATAGTAAAAGATAACCCTTAACTGCCCTTTTGAAAATGTATAAGACTTGGGTAAACACTGTTTTAGCTGTTTTAAGAACTTAAATGTGGTACATAAACAGCATGGAATACTATGTAGCCATAAAAGAAAGAACAAGAGCCTGTCCTTTGCAGGGACATGGATGGTGTTGAAGGCCATTATCCTTAGCAAACTAACATAGGAAGAGAAAACCAAATACTGCATGGTCTCACTTATAGGTGGGAGCTAAATGAGGAGAACACACAGACACCTAGAGGGAAGCAACACACACTGGGGCCTATCAGAGGGTGGAGGGTGGGAGGAAGGAAAGAAGCAGGAAATAGAACTAATGGGTACTAGGCTTAACACCTGAGTAATGAAATAATCTGTACAGCCAACCCTCTTGGAACACGTTTACCTATGTTAACCAACCTGCACATCCTGCACCTGTATCCCCGAATGTAAAAGTTGAAAAAAGCTCCACAAATAGTTTCATAAATCCATTTTAAAAAGAGAAAATTTATAACAGTCTTAAATCCTAATATGAATGATTGGAAATATCTGATGTACATACGTTGTATAAATCTAAGTATTGAAAAAAATGAGCCCATGCTATTCATTTGAATTTCAAGATTTCTTTGGCTTAAAGTTTTTGAAAACCAAAGTAAGAAATAGATTATTTTAGAAAATTGTTTTTGTTTTCACCTCAGCCCTCTTATTCCATAGTTCTTTTAAGAACTAAAATTTATCTAAATGCTAGTCATCTGACTGGAACTGCCCCAGACCTGTTATATTATAACATATTCTACTTAATGTAAGGCACCAGGGATTGTATGATGCCCCATTATTTTATGTCTCACTAAGAAAATTATTTAAATGCTGCCAATTATAATTATAGTAAATCATGAATTAATAAGTGGTATTTCAGTGTAAGAAATGTTAAAACATGGAGACAATGATCATCTTAGACTCAATAAAATACAGTACAACGCTACCTGTAATCTTTAAAATGTACCTGAAAGTGTAGGTATAATTGTATCGTTTCACTTAATTCAAATGTTGTCTTTAGTGGTATTAGTAAAAATTATAATATCTTACAAGTTTTGAGCTGTTATTTGTGTTAGGAACTATTCTATATTTTGTGTAGAGTCTTATTTAAGCATTACAGTGGTTTCCTCTGAGAAACTGACTATTTTCATTCCCATTTTATTGATGAGGAAATTGAGACACAAAAAGGCTAAGCAACAGCTAGGAAGCGACAGAGCTTCAAGTAGGATTCCAGCCCAAGTTGAATGTCATCCAAGAGCTATGCTCTTTCTATTCAAATAGGCTGCTCTTTCATTAATACAGTGACTAATGAGAGGTAATAAGTAGTGTGCTTTCTTCAAAGGAAAATTGAGTTTGTTTTGAAGGCAGAGTAATAGGCTATTCAGTGTTTGCAACTACATGAATCATTAATGTGGCATTAGCTAGTGCACTACAATTTCCTGAAGTCTTCTCACTCTCATAGGACTGCTCTACATTTGGCCTCTGCCAATGGAAATTCAGAAGTAGTACAACTCCTGCTGGACAGACGATGTCAACTTAACGTCCTTGACAACAAAAAAAGGACAGCTCTGATAAAGGTATGCAGTAGTCAACTATATCAGCGTGAGATGGGTTTGATTTCAATAGATAGCATAAAAATGAGTTTTCTCATTTAAATATAACTAGTTGGTGAAAGCTGTGGAATGTTATTTTGAATTCCTAGGACTTATAATTTGTTTTTGGTCTAATACTGACAGGCCGTACAATGCCAGGAAGATGAATGTGTGTTAATGTTGCTGGAACATGGCGCTGATGGAAATATTCAAGATGAGTATGGAAATACCGCTCTACACTATGCTATCTACAATGAAGATAAATTAATGGCCAAAGCACTGCTCTTATATGGTGCTGATATTGAATCAAAAAACAAGGTATAGATCTACCAATTTTATCTTCAAAATACTGAAATGCATTCGTGTTAACATTGACCTGTGTAAGGGCCAGTTTTCCGTATTTGGAAGCTCAAGCATAACCTGAATGAAAATATTTTGAAATGACTTAATTATCTAAGACTTTATTTTAAATATTGTTACTTTTAAAGAAGCATTAGAGGGTACAGTTTTTTTCAGTGCACTTGTGGTTAATGCTTTTTAAAAAAAAAACACTGAATTTGTAAAAGGTAATACTTTTTTTTTTTCAATTTTTCCCTGTCAAGTTTTTTTTCCCCTAACAAATGTAAAATGACAAAATTTGCCCTGGAAATAGGTTTTACATTAAAACTCCAAGAAAACTTAAACATGTTTCAGTGAATAGTAATCCTGCTACTTTGGCAAATTCCTAAAAAAACACTAATAGATATGAGGTGATGTATCTCTCAGTGGCAAGGCTTAAGATATTTCTGATTGCTCATGAGGCAGAATTGGAAAGGGAAAAATGCAGCAATCAGAAATACCAAGGCCAACTTGGAAATTAGGTAATGGGGGAAAAGACCATGAAGAGGTTTTTTTTTGTTTTTGTTTTTGTTTGTGTGTGTGTGTGTGTGTGTGTGTGTGTTGTTATTGTTGTTCATTCATTTGTTTCCTTTATATGGTGAGACAGGGTTCTTTTCCATTTTAGAGAATGACAGTTTTCAGTTTGGGAGAGGGAGTTAGTGGGTTGTAAACTGCCTAGAGATCAATTTTAGGAGGCCTCTGAGGAACCAGACTGGCAGTGAATATGTGGTAATGTAGTGGGAAACCCTTGAGTAGAAGGAATAACAAGTAATTAACCAACTTAGTATACTATTCTGGTAGAAATGGCCAATTAGAGTCTCAACTCTGCTTTCAATTCTAGAATGTCTTGATGGGAAGGTGGGAGATAAGGGGCTTATAAGTAAAAAGATCAGGTTGGATTTTGAGTTTACTAGACCTTGTTCTACTCTTACCGGGGAAAATTTTGTGGTGTTTTCAGCAAATGAGTCTCTCTCCTACTCTTTCCTCTTTTTGGCCAAATCCTCAAATGATAAAGGGAATTGTTTATGTGATGAGAGATGAGACTGAAATAATTGTCTATTGCACTAGCTTCCAGCTAGAGTTGTGCATTCCAGTTACCTCAGGAAAATTTTTAAATAATCTTCAAGTCTAGGTTTTCCCCTGAAGATTTTGATAGAGTAAGTCTAATAAAGCCTGGATATGTATGTTTAAAAATGTTTCCTTGAAGCCAGGCATGGTGGTGCATGGCTGTAGTCCCAGCTGCTAGGGAGGCTGAGGTGGGAGGATTGCCTGAGCTTAGGAGTTCTAGTCTAGCCTGGTCAACATAATGAGACCCTGTCTCTAACAACAACAACAACAAATTTCTCAAAATCCGGATACACTCCTGCTTAACCACTGAATACATAAGTGTAATATGTAAATTCTTATATCTCAGAAACTTCAGATATTTCTAGAAGAGTTGGAGTTGGATATGTGCTAATTCCTTTAAATCTTTCCTTTCCAATAACATTAATCTAAATTTTTGTTTGTTTGTTTTTGAGATGGGGTCTCACTCTGTTCCCCAGGCTGGAGTGCAGTGGTGCGGTCACAGATCACCACAGCCTTGACGTCCCTAAGCTCTGGTGGTCCTCCAATCTGTTTTTGTATTTTTTTTTTTTTTTAGTAGAGATGAGGTTTTTGCCATGTTTCTCAGGCTGATCTTGAACTCCTGGGCTCAAGTGAATCACCCACCTCAGGCTCCCAAAATGCTAAGATTACAGGTGTGAGCCACCATTCCTGGCCTAGTCTGACTTATCTCTGTCGTTGGGACATTAAAATAAATATTATTGGCACTATCTATCAGCTTACAGAATAATACCTTTTCCTTTCTACCATCAGTTATTCACTGCCATTCAGAAGGTCTTTAGAAATTTGCAGTGAGTAGTCTTCCAATAAGTAGAGGATGGCTCTCTCAGGACTTTGTGTCCCTTTGTTCAATCATTCAAGTGCTTAGGTCAGTAAGTCGTTTTTAAGAGCAGAGTTTTCTCAGAATTGTAGCAAATTCTAAACCTTTTTTGTCAATTGAAGCTATATTGTGGGCTATCCAGTATGTCTCTTAAGTTTGTAGAGCTTTGGCTTAATCAGGATGGCAGGTTTAAACACTCAAAACCATGGAGTTATTAAGAATACAGATAGGAAATCTCTTAGTTTCAGTAATCCTATGAACTGATTATCTATCTAGTTAACAATCTGGAAAAATTAAATACAAATAGATTTTAAATGAATAAATGTTGGAAAAAATTCTTGAAATGGGCAGTGTGAGTATTAATAGCAATATTTATTGCATGTTGGAGCTTGAACTTTGGTAAAACATGTGAAACTAAAGAAATATTTTACATTCAAATTCTTGCTTTATACACAACAATTTTGTCTTAGGATTGGATAATAATAGAGATAAAAGATACAGCCCCTGCCCTCAAGAAGCTTTTTGTTTAAATGAAAAAAAAATCATCCAAAAGTGCCATGCCAAATGCTCATTTAGAAACAAAGAGTCTTGGAAACAGTAAATGTTTAAAGTGAGTTTTTGAGATGATCAGATTTAATGTGGTGAGGCAGAGAAGGGATGTTTCCAAGGGAAGGAGTGGCACGTGGGAAAGTACAGAAGAGTGAGAAGGAAGCGACCAAATTTTATTTACTTTCTGTGAGTGTAAGTCCATAAGCTTCCAGTTCAGTTGAGAGATACATAATTTTTTGAATTACATATTGTTTTTGTTTTATATTGTTTTACAGTGTGGCCTCACACCACTTTTGCTTGGCGTACATGAACAAAAACAGGAAGTGGTGAAATTTTTAATCAAGAAAAAAGCTAATTTAAATGCACTTGATAGATATGGAAGGTATGGTTATTTCTTTTAATCTGTGTGTTGTTCTAGATTGATAGCAGTCACTCAAGTCATAAATAATAAATTAATAAGATCAAATTATACTTATTGGGACATAGTGATCAGTATCAACACAAATCAGTTAAGTAGAAAAGCAATTATTTGGACTGGGCAACATAAAGAACTGTTTTAGTAGGATTCATCTTCTCTTATTATATTGACTGATGTTATTTGTTGTATGATGTTTTTGGTTACATGATCTTATGTTAGCTAAAGGGATTTCATATTAATTTTATGAAGTTTGAACTTTAACTTTCAGTTTACTTTATGACTCAGTATTGAACTTTTTAACCCTTTCTAGTAGGTTTTAACCTCTGTATCTTATATGCTTTTCCACTAAATATGCTGTATTAAACATAAATAGGAGTTGAAAATCCTTTTGTCTTTTCAATGACTCTGCTTTAAGTTGCTTTCTTTGAAGAATATTAATGTTAGCTTATCCCTACATGACAATTAATTGCTATTCCCACATACTGTGGGTTCAACAGCTTTTTTCCTTTTTTATTTCCAGTGTATTTTGATGTTTTTATTTTTAGTTGGTATGGAGAGAGGGAGTGAAGATAGTTTTAAGTGGATACACTTTTCCTTTAATGAAGGCAAGCTGTAGGTGGGTGATAAAGAGAAAAGAGCTACGCTTTGGATTCACACAAGACTGGGTTTAATTCCTAACTTTCTTACTTGCTACGTGTGTGACATTGGGAACGTGATTTACCACCCAATATGTTGTCATATGTGAAAAGTAGGAGAATATATCCTTCAAAGTTGGCTGTGCATAAGCAAGAAAGATACGTGTGGCATTTAATTCAGTGCGTAGCACATGCTTATTGGCATCATTAACTGAAACTCCTGTGACTACTATTCTTACCATTATTATTAATATTACTGCTTTCAGCATGCAGAGAGCTCTTATTTATCTTAGCCCCTAGCTAATTTTCTATTACAGCATATCAGTCTAGGGAAGCTGTGACAAAATCTTCACTTAAATCTTTGTCCACTTCAGATAAGTGGCCCTAGCATTGTTTCTTGCCCATCAAAGGACTTTAAATTAGTAGCTTCTGCTATGCAATACCCCACTGAGATAAGAGGTTTCCTTTTTGTCCCTTCCTTTTAACCTTGGTGGTATTTTACAAAGATGAACTCTTGAGCACCCAAGATGCTTATGTCTTTTAGCGCATGTAAATGTTTGATTCTGCATGGACAGGCAAGATGTCAAATTGGTAAAGTATATCAAATTAGCTTTTAAAATAACTTTATTACAGTTCCTAAAGGAGAAATTATCTCTGTAATTTTAGAACTGCCCTCATACTTGCTGTATGTTGTGGATCAGCAAGTATAGTCAATCTTCTACTTGAGCAAAATGTTGATGTATCTTCTCAAGATCTATCTGGACAGACGGCCAGAGAGTATGCTGTTTCTAGTCATCATCATGTGTAAGTGTTTACATGAAAAGGCTAGTTAATGCTAAATTGAGGTTTAAAATAATTATAACAATTGCATCTTACATATCAGGTGAGATGTCATAGTTTGGTTCAGGTAGTTTTAGAGTGGCAGTGAGTTAGTCCCCTGCATCAGCCAGAAATCAGACAAAAAGCAAGACAAGTTAGAAGTACCAATGGGTGCAGGATTCTTTACCTCAGGACTTTTAAGACCTTTATCCTTAGAGATCCCAATATTGTTCATTTCATCCAAGTATAACACCTATGCATGGCATAAAAAAGAGTATCACATCTTTGATTTTTCTGATTAGTTATTTGGGTCTTGAAATGTCCAGTTTAGCAGAAAGCCTTGTACTGTCTTCTGGGGACTGTCTCCTACATACTCCTTGAATTTTTCAAGAACCAAAGGGGTTCACTAAATCCAAGGAAGACAGTCCCTTTTATCAAGTCAGAAGGAGGAGAGAAAAAAGGACATTCCAATCATTCTGTTGTTTCCATTGTTTCTGTTGCTGCATTGTTGCCACTCAAACTGCTTCTGCTGCCTGGTAATTGTTGACCTTTGACACCAAGGTGCCCTTACTGATTCAGATCCCTCAAGTCTTCATGGGGATTCACACAGTGACTTTGAAGTTACAACATTTTTTAGTTCCCTTACCTATGCTTATATGCTCAGCCATTGTTCCCAAAGCACCAGCACCCTGCTCTGGCCGCTGGGCATCCTGACTTTATCCGCACACAAAGTGAGCAAATTGACCCTTCCTCCTGTATTCAGAACCTAATGTGGAACCCACATCTTAGCTAAGAATTAGCTGAGACCTTCATGGTAAGAGATCCTTTCA
Organism: Homo sapiens; assembly: GCF_000001405.40. NCBI lineage: Eukaryota > Metazoa > Chordata > Mammalia > Primates > Hominidae > Homo > Homo sapiens. The sequence goes on along the minus strand of NT_187382.1, from coordinate 156,628 downwards.
GGCCGTTGTTGGTCTTTTCTCTAGCAGATATGAGGTGGGCTTGTTATAAAGGGTCAGAGGGGTTCAAATAATGTGGCAGAAAGAGATCAGTGTTTGTTTCTTCTTCTTTGCTACCAGATCTACACTGTGAGGCACCTTTATATCCTGTGTAGAACCTTAGGCAGTAGAAAGTCCCATATGAGCCTTCCCCAAGCAGTGGCTCCCAGCTGTGGTTGGCCCCTTGAGTGATCTGATTTACATGATAATGAAAATCGTCCAAGCTACTTCCATCTCTAGCTCAAGATTTTAAAATATTTTCAAATTGTACCTCACAGGAAGCCATTGAAGAGAATTCTCAGAATCTCAAGTGGGTTAAGTAAGTAGTGATGAGTCATGGACAAGAGCCAAGCCTTGCCCATGACTCATCACAAATCATGTGTAAAAGTAGGGCTTTGTGCCTGCTTTGGCGGCACATATCCTAAAATTGGAACAATACAGAGAAAGTTAGCACGGCTTCTGCATAAGGAGGCAGCACAACTCTTTGAAGCATTCCATATTTTGTGCAGTCACTGGAAGATCATTTCACTATTTGCTGACTAGCTCTAAGGAAACAGTGTGAATCAAAGCAAAATGGGTGCCACCAAAATATCGAAATGTGATTTGTGCTGCAAAAATAGTCATGGAAGATGGTCTGTGAGATGATTTAGAGCTCAATAATGTGTTCAGTGCAAAATATATTATAAGTATGTACGTCAAAAATTAGAGAATGTCAATTTGCAACTTCTTCATGAAAACTGAAAAAAAATAAAAGTAGAGTTTTGGTCTCCCATGTCAGCTGGAATTGAACATCAACATAAAGCATTATCCTAACAAACATCTGCTGGCTCAGAGTTTGAGTCTGTAGAGAAGGATCATTGCTCCAAGCCAGGTCTTAACATCCATTGGTTTTTCTGCCCTTAGCACAACAAATTGGTCAACTCCGTAATAGTGGACAATCACATTATCTACTTTAATGAGAGATTTATGAAAAAATTTAGTTACAAACTATGACACAGTTGAGATGCCCTGAATGATAAGCCATAAGGAGTAGGACAACTAAGAAGCAAAATTAGGACTTAATAACATTTTCTGAAAACTACAGCATTTGCATATTAGAACCTATGAACAAAATACACATGGGGTTTTATTTGGGATTCCAAGATAATTTTAGTCATAAAGTTTAGGAACAGATTATTCCATTGCTTTACTATTTCTCTGAGCATTTAAAAAATGTTACCTTGTTAAATCTTTATAACAACCTAGTGAAATAAGGCAGCAAAGTCCTCACTTTGTAGAAGAAGACATTGAGCCTAAGAGAAGAAAGTTGTCCAAGAACAAATAGCTGTTCATTATGGAGCTAGGACTTATGCAGAGTTGGGACACTTTCTATTATGTCATGCTAATGCATGCTGATTTACTGGGTCACAGTGCCCTTGATTTATGAGCATTTCACCTAATTTTTTTTCTTCTTTAATTAGAAGCTTAAAGAAAAGTTTGTAGAATGTACTCATAAGTGTATGGGATAATACTGTTAAATTCTGATATTATGATATTGTTTGAAATACTCTAAGAATTTTACATTTGGTAAGTATTTTTTATATCAGTATTAAAATAGTAATTTGGTTTATTACATTTTTATACATAGAATTTGTGAATTACTTTCTGACTATAAAGAAAAACAGATGCTAAAAATCTCTTCTGAAAACAGCAATCCAGGTAAGACTTGTGATAATGAATTACTTTAGGTCAGTTGTCCACAATGTTTTTGGCATCAGGGACCGGTTTTGTGGAAGACAGTCTTTCCATGGGCTGGGGGAAGGTGGGGATGGTTTCAGGATTATTCAGCCATGTTTCATTTATTGTGCTACTTTATATTATTATTACATTGTAATATATAATGAAATAATTATACAACTTACCATAATGTAGAATCCGTGGAAACTCTGAGCTTATTTTTCTGCAACTAGATGGTCTCATCTGGGGGCAAAGTGAGACAGTGACAGATCATCAGGCATTAGTTTCTCATATGAAGCACACAACCTAGATCCCTCAGATGAGCAGTTCACAATAGGGTTCATGCTCCAATGAGTATCTAGTGCTATCACTGATCTGACTGGAGGCAGAGTTCAGGCGGTAATATGAGCCATGGGGTGTGGCTGTAAGTACAGGTGAAGCTTCCCTGGTTTGCCTGCTGCTCACCTCCTCCTGTGTGGTGTGGTTCATAATAGTCCATGGACTGGTACCAGTCTGTGACCTGGGAGTTGTGGACCCCTGCTCTGGGTGGTCCTACCATAGATAAAAAAATAAAAGTAAGGAATTTTTGATCACAAAAGAACGCCAAAGCACAAGTCATGTTACATATCCTTGTCCCAACAAGGTCTCACTCTTACTGACTTGATTCCTCCTCATTTGAAGTTGGAAAGAGATACATTTACTTTGTTTGAACAAGATGTGTTCTCTACCTGCTGGTCAATTGTCTTGATAACAGTAATTTTGTTAGAACAAGATGCTCTGCTACCATTTACCAAAAGATTGTCATAATAAATATACAAATTGCCCAACTCTAGGCTCAGCAGATTATAATAAAAGTAGAAAAATGCTTCACATTAACAAAAATACTAGTATGCCACCTGGTTGTGGACACCTAATACATTGTATAATCCAAACTGGATGAGGACACCTTTAATTTAGCCATCTATTTATCAAAAAGCTTCTGTAAGTTAGGTTTTATAAGTTGCAGAAGACAAAGATGGAATAGATGTAGTTTTGATCTTTAAGGTGCTCATAATAGAGGTGTCTCTATTTCATTTCTGTGCTTTTTCAACAGAATTTACAAAGAAAACATTTCTATGTTTTCACTTGTCCACTTAACAAATAACTATCAAATGTCTTTTAGATACTAATCATTTTTCTAATGCTACAGAACACACACAATTAAAAATACAGACAGGAGCTTGTTATTATCATTGTCATTTTTATTATTTTACTACTTTATTCAGTGCTTACTGTGTGCTAGTTGCCAACTGGAAGCTTAAAATTATGATTTATTATGTATTAATTATGTGCCAGACATACGTGATGAGGAATGAAAGTTTTGAAAAAAAGTAGGTATGATTCAAAGTAAGCCTGCAGAGTGAGAAGAATTTTTCTAGGTAAAGAAGCAGAAGAATAATTTTTGGCAGGAGGAACATGCAACAAGTTTGTGTGTTTGCCAGAAGAACATCTGATGAGATTGCCTGTTTGGCAGGAAGAGCAACAACTGCAAAAGACAAGATGCCGAGTGAACTTTGCAGGGTTTCTGAGCAGTTCACTTTTGCTAGTACCAAAAGTGTGAGACACCAGAGTTTGGGAATGAGGTGAATACTTAGCTAAGGCAAGTTTATGATAGACTTTTTTAATACTATAGAAATGAGTAGGTCTTACCCTGTGGGCCATGGGAAATTTACCAGGTAGAATGCTTTGGACTGTAAATACTAGATGAGCAGTGGCTAAAACAGTAGGAACCAGAGTTGTTTTGGTTGTTCAGTGATATCCTAGGATCCCATTTGTCCCTCTTTCAGCTGTGCTGTTGGCAGTGTTTTCTTCATGTTTCCTTTTGTGGTTGGCTAATCCGCAGCAGCTCCAAACATCTTGTTCTCACAACACAACATTTCAAGGGCTGCTTTTCTTCACATGTGTCTTTTAAACAGGGAGAAAACTTAGAAGCATGCAAGGGGCTTCCTGTAACATTTCATTGGCTGGGTCACACCACATGCTCATTCCCAAACCAGGCAATGGGATGGCAAATACATGATTAGCTTAGAATAAACATTTCTCTTTCTGAGGCTGAGGAGGGGGATTGGGATAATAAATATCCCAATAGACTTGTGTTTCTTCTGCAAGAAAGAATAAGGAATGGCTATTGATAGGAGCCAACAATGTGTGCTGCAGGGGCTCATTGGAGAAATTTGAGCAGGGGAGTTACAAGATTAAATTTGAATATTAAGGCATATTCTGCTTATGGTGTAAAATGGGTTAGCAAGCTTTTTCTGTAAAGGACCAGGTGGGAAATATTTTAGACTATGTGGTCTCTGTCATATCTACTTAACCAGGCTGTTGTCTGTTGTTGTAGTGTGAAAGCCACCATGATTATATGTAAGCAAACAGGCATGACTGAGCTCCTATAAAACTTTATTTACAAAGCCAAAAGGCAGATTGGATTTGTCCTGTGGCCTATAGTTTGCTGGGATTGATGGAAGATAACCATGTAAAGAAACCAGGAGACAAAGGAAGCTTTTGCAGTAGTCAGCTATAGTTTCCATGTCACACATCCTTGGACTAGTATCAATGTATTCTAAGGTTTTCACCTGCCCATGGTGAAATAAAGTTTGGAATCTCCGTTACTCATTTTAATGTGTTGGCCTTTTTTTGGTGTTATGCTTTTTTCATTTGTTTTGCTTAATTTTTTTCATGTAAGAAATAACATTAATAGTTGGAAGGCTTTTTTGTAATAAAAGCCATTTTGTAAATGTTTATGTTCTCAGTGGAAGTGGTAATATAAAGCAGAGGCAGAAGAGAGGTATAGTCAATATGATTTAGTGATAATTGAATGAGAAAGGTTTGGAGGACAGAGAGAAATGTCAGATAATTTACAGGTTTCCACGTTGTACACTAGTATTTAAGCTGGGCATGAGGAAGGAGTATGAAATTTTCTCCATGACCTGTGTGAGTCACAGCTTCCAGAAAAGAAAGAGAGCAAGGAGCATATTAAGGAAGCACAGCAAAGTCAGTCCTAGAGTGCCCTGCTTGACTTCATGTCATAGTTCTGACTTCTAAAAAATCATTTTCTGCAAAATGTGCTTTGTGTTTTTCCCCTCTTGCAGCCTGCAGCCAAACAGAATCCCTTTAGCAGGGCATTTTTGTGTTCTTCCTTTAAACAAAGCAACATATAAATAACAAAAAAGAAGTAAGAGAAAGAGTATTTTTTGTATAGGCTAGCATTTAACTTAAACTTGAGAGCGAGTACTAGGATTATACTTAGAATTTATGGACTGGGTAGGAAGACTAGATAGAAATCTAAAGATTGCTGACTCAAACACAGTGTGATTTTTTTTGCTTTATTCTCACAGCTCTGAATTCACAACTATTAGTTATATTCATATACACTATAACTTTATAAAGCACCTTCCCAAACAAATATTAAGTGATTTATTATAATTTCTATGACTTATTATAGAATTGACTTTCCAAGTGTTCATGAGAATTATTGGGAATTTGCTACATAGTATCATCTCAGCTGTGTCCACATGAGCTAGCTGTCACCTTGTCTTAATGAATAATGGCTCACTAGGAATATTGGTTTTGGCATTAAAATGATCTACATCTTAATACAGATAGGACCAGGGACCACTCTTGAACGTTAATGTCTAAGCATCTTAAAGGTACACATAAGGCTTTCATAATCTGACTTCTGCCCTATTCTACATCTTTAGCCCTTTTCCCTGTGTGCCCTTTCTCTGGCATTACTGAGTGGCTCTTAATGCCCTACTCACTCCTCCTTCTATTGCAGGCAAATACTTTCACTCTTTCAGGCCTCGCTCCTGCTCTTGCTGCTGTGTGGCATGCTGTCACCCTTTCTTGCCCTCTACCACTTTTAATCTAGCTAGCCTCAATATTTAAGTCTCTGCTTGGGCAGGTGTTCTAGAAAAGCCATCCCTGACAGGCTTTATTTTCATTCTTTTTAAACCCTAACACCTAGCATGTATGTAGCAGGACTCAATAAGAAATTTCTGAGTAAAATAAAGACTGTTTTTACAAAGATGATGTGCAAGACTGTCCTCTGCAGTCTTGGAGCAGAGGGGACAGACATGTGGAGGAATAGTGTACAGTTCAGGTGGTAAAGGTGCAGTAGAAAAATCAGTGAGGTCCTAAGGCAACCTCAAGGAAGGAGTTACCTGTTTATCTGGGGAAAGATCTGCAGAATCAAGGAAGACTTCCCATAGCATTGTTTTAAAAGATGAAAACAAGGCTGGGTGTGGTGGCTCACACCTGTAATTGCAGCATTTTGGGAGGCTGGAGCAGGTGGATCACAAGGTCAAAAGATCAAGACCATCCTGGCCAATGGTGAAACCCCATCTCTACTAAAAATACAAAAATTAGCTGGGCATGATGGTGTGTGCCTGTAATCACAGCTTCTCAGGAGACTGAGACAGGAGAATCATTTGAACCAGGGAGTCAGAGGTTGCAGTGAGCTGAGATTGTGCCACTGCACTCCAGCCTGGTGACAGAGCAAGACCCCAGCTAAAACAAAAAAAAAGAAAAATGAAAATAAATTTGTCATAATAGTGGATGGAAACATTTTAGATGTTAAGAAGACATTGTACACTAATAAAGGTGTCAGTAGTAATTTTGGAAATCGTTTGTAAGGTACTATTTTTGCAGAAAACAGGAGGCAGGAGAGACCCAGTGGGTCAAACAAGAGGATTTTGTTTAGGTGCACACCAGCTCAGCGGATTTGCATCAAAAAGCTGAGCCCTGAACAAAGACAGGGCTTGGCTTATATAGGCAAACTTATAGAAGCAGAACAAAGGCAGTTAATCATATAGTGACAGTTTTGCAACCACTGCATAGCTTGTGACCTTGCAGCTGCATTGAAGGAAAACAAGAATTTGCAAAATATATGCATTTGTAAAAATAGCTATGAATAAATGCTGAGGGGGAGGGGAGATGGTAAAGGAATTTGTTTTCTTAACCTTGCTCTGGGATGTCTGGAGCCCATACCTGTGGGCTCTGGCTTCTCAGACAGGGTCACCATGACCTTTCCTGGGCCTGCTTGTTACTATCCTTAGAGTCAGACTAGCTAAGTGCAGGAAAACTTGTTTCTCTTTAAAACTAAATTTCCTTTTCTTTACATTTACTGCTTCACTATTAGGAAGTGAACAACATACTGAGTTACCTTATATGTTTCTACTGTATTTTAAAGTTGTGTTTCTGGTGGTTTTGTTCATTTATGTTGGGTGGATGAATTTGTGAGTGAATCACATCAGGTGTCTCCCCAAGTGGTTTGTTGAAGTTTTGGAGAATTATTTCCTAAGTAACTATTTCATGAAAGACTAAACACTCAGTTTATGAAATAAAATAAAATGTTGTCTTCAATCTATTTTTATAAAGGCAATAGTTTTTAACTGTTCTAAGTGGTTCATTTTAACTGAATATATGGATTTCTCAACAGAACAAGACTTAAAGCTGACATCAGAGGAAGAGTCACAAAGGCTTAAAGTCAGTGAAAATAGCCAGCCAGAGGCATGGAAAATTTTAAGTTTAAATTTTTGATTTAACGTTGTTTTCTTTGCTTGAATAATATTAGATAGTCCAAATGAAATTACCTTTCAGACTAGGTTTTAAGAATCAATAGATTCTTTTTTTAAGAATTTTTTAATAGATTCTTAAAATTTATTTTAATAAATTCAGCAATCTCATTAACAGAAGAATTAATAAATTCTAACTTAACATTTGATATTTAGCTTAAAAACATAACCACTATAAAATTTAAAATACTCTTATTTTATGGTATTCTTATTTAAAATATTCTTATCTGCCTTTTTGATTAGCTTATAGCTAATCTTTCCTTTTGGAATAGAGGCAAAAACATATTCCAGACCTTTGTTTGTTCTTTTATTTTTACAACACCCTAACATGATAAAGTACCATCAATTATTGGATTATATTATTAAGCAATAGAACTGTGAACAATGTAACACTGAAGGTCCCTGAGCTGGATTCATGGTTAAAGAATAATCACGGCCAGTGATTGAAAATCTGCAGTTTTATATTGTCAGTCACAGATACCAAGGTTAAAGACATATTCTGCCTTGTGGTCTCTCACTGACCTCAGCATTTCTGTTCAGGGAGGGAACCAGGTCATAAAAGCAACCCAACTGCCTATTACAAGAATCACATCTTGCAGAATGGGACATTTGGTGTTAGTGCACAAACACAATAACCTTCTACCTTATTTTAGTTGCAGAAAATCAGTACAGATTATTAAAAAATTTTTATCCACTGTAATTAGTACACCTTAGAATATATTAGAACTGGACTTAAGCAGATCATCTAGATACATAACACTATCATATTACAGCATATAATTTCAATTAAAATTTAAGAATTTGCATTTCTTCCTGTTTGGTGTTGATTTCAGCTCCTAATAATTTAAAGCGTGCCTACAATCCAATTAGGAATCTTTTTAAAAAGCACTTCAGTGCACTATAGGGGCTCACTAGTTAGGGTTTCATGAGATATACTCTTTTCAAGTGAGGAAGCCCTTGGAACACTACAAATCATCTGCTAATTCATTTTTGGTAGATTTAACACATAACAAATTAAGTTTAGTCCAAACAAATGGTGACAAAGTTAAGTTTGCTGGTTCATGTTTTTATTCTCCCTTTGTCTAAGGTGAATTATTTTCCCATGTTAGTCAGAAGCCAATGATGTGGCAGTAGCTAAACATAGATTAAAAAGTTAATTCTTAATTTTAATTATTTATTTATTTAATTATTTTAACAGTTAAATTTTATTTTATTTTCTAATTTTTCATGTCCATACTTGATTACTTAAGAATAAAATTATTTTAACATGCATTCCAAAAGAGGAGACATACACGGAAATACAACAAGCAAATTAACCTTCTATTTTTGCATCTGCAGAAAATGTCTCAAGAACCAGAAATAAATAAGGACTGTGATAGAGAGGTATACCTTTATGTTCAAATGTTTCTGTGGAATTAGATTTTTATGTTATGCTGTTTAACAAAGTGTAGTAAGTGTACGCATACATGATCCTATCATGTAAGTAGCATAAATCACCAGTGAAAAATTTAATATTTAACTCAGAAAGAATTCTGTACATTGAGTTTTCAAGAGATACAAACCCTAGAGAGATTCTTTCATTATTATGGAACAATCCTGAATGGTGCCATAAAATGCTAGGTAATGCCACTTTAGGAGATTTGGACCAATCCTTTTATCTTTCTTGGTTTTAGTCTGATTATCACTAGATAATGTGGCTAAAGAAGATAATTACTTATTCTTTGTAATTTCCAGCTGGAAAATTGTATAGCTATTGAATGTGAAATTTGGGGAGCATCTAATTTTCTGGAATTCCATGCTTGCACCTCAGCAGTTTCACTCTGCTCCTTGTGTTGTGGCAAACTTTGGTTTTCATGTTTCAGTGAGCACCATCATGTTTTTGATATCCAGGAACCAAATGAAAAAAGAACGATCAAAGGCAGTGGGGGAGGAGAATATCTTAGTGCAGAAAAGGGCCATCTTCCTTTCTATTCCTGAAGCCCCCCAGTGTCTCATCCTCTACATCTGAGTGTTTAATGTAAAATCTAGGTGGTAAAGACAGAAGACACATTTTGTGTCTATGTCGTTTTATTTTTGTGTTCCCACGAGTCAAATGGGGTAAATTCATATATAAGATTCTGAAGAGTTTTTGGGAATAAAAGCACAAAATGAAGGAGGGCCCTTTTTGAATTTTGGAAAATTCTGTTTTATTCAGTCAAACAGCTGGAATCAAGCAAACTTTACAAAAATTTCAGTGATATACTAATGACATGATAATTACATCTTAAAATTATACGGTTATAGTTCTGTATATATGATCAAATTTAAGTGTGAAATATTTTTAATGACTAAAATAATGGCAAACTGAGTCAATTGATAAAATCAATTAAAAAGGTTATTTTTATTCAATAAAGTGATAACCATCCTTAATATCAAACTTCCACTCAAGGTTGAAGAAGAAATAAAGAAGCATGGAAGTAATCCTGTGGGATTACCAGAAAACCTGACTAATGGTGCCAGTGCTGGCAATGGTGATGATGGATTAATTCCACAAAGGAAGAGCAGAAAACCTGAAAATCAGCAATTTCCTGACACTGAGAATGAAGAGTATCACAGGTAAGCCTATGGCAACATTTAATAGGAGATAACTATATGCTGTCAAACTAATCCTAATTTGGGCTTTCATGATGAACAAATTTTATACTTTTACTAGAATATTCAGCCTTGCCTGTTAATCAGAAAAATGAAAATCAGTAAACAATGAGTTACCGTTTTTTCCAGTCATTAATTTATTTGAAAAATAACCGGCATTGGCAAATGTGAGGGAAAAGGCATTTCCTTTTCTTTTTAATGAACTTTTATTTTAGCTTCAGAAGTTCATGTGTAGGTTTATTATATAGGTAAACTGTGTCATGGAGGTTTGGACTACAGATTACTTCATCAGCCACATAATAAGCAAAATACTCGAGAGGTAGTTTTTTGGTCATCTCCCTCCTGCCACACTCCACCCTCAAGTAGACCCTGGTGTCTGTTATTCTCCTCTTTGTGTCCATGAGTTTTCATTGTTTAGTTCCCACAAATGAGTAAGAATATGTGGCATTTGATTTTCTGTTCCTGCATTAGTTTGCTTAGGATAATGGCCTCCAGCTCCATGTGTGTTGCTGCAAAGGAAATGGTCTCATTGAAAAAGACAATTCATACACTGTTGGTAAATATATTTTGAACATTAATTTATTAGCATATTTGCACACACACATATATAACATAGTAAGGATATATATGTATGTTAAGGATATTTGTATAGATTTGTCACATATATACTTATGTATAAGGACATTTCTTACAGCGTTATTATATCAAAAAGATGGATCCTTATCAATAGGAATTTATCATTATCAAAAGTAAATCCTTACCAATAGGAAATGGCTCAATTTTCATACCCAGAAAATAATACGGTATGCAAACATTTTTTACAAATGAGGTTAGATCTAGAGTATACTGATTATTTCACAATTAAAATGTATTTAAAGCATTTAGTTTGGTAACACATCTTAAGATAATTTTGTTAGAATTCTTGTAATATCTGCTGTGTTGCAAATGGAAGCTACACGCTACATTGACACTGTACCTTGTTAGCAACGAGATTGCTAGTTATTAAATTTTTGTTGTCAGTGCCTGAGTGCCAAAATATTGGACCTTCAATCTGAATATTGCCAAGGGATTGTACATGGGGATCTATATTTAATATAAACATTTGAGTATATTGGGTAAAACTTTTATTAAAATATATCAAAGTATCTTTCATCTGCTAAACCAGGAGCTGGCCAGCTTTTTCTGCAAAGAGCCATTTAGTAAATTTTTAGGCTTTGTGGACTATATATATTTATTTTTTTTGAGACAGGGTCTCTGTTGCCCAGGCTGGAGTGCAATTGTGTGATCACAGCTCACTACAGCCTTGACTTTCTGGGCTCTAGTGATCCTCCCACCTCAGCCTCTCTATTAGCTGGGACCCCAAGTGTGCAACATCACACCCAGCTAATTGACTCTATGGACTGTAAAGTGAATAAGCATGGCTGTGTTCCAAGATTCTTTACTTACAAAAACAGGCAGTGGGCTGGATTTGGCCCACAGGTGCTAATTTGCTGACCCTTGTGCTAAAAGGAAGGTGCTGCTAATGCAGTAACACTTATTTATAAAAGTGCCCAGCATGTGTGACATTATCTTTCCTTTGAGAAAAGGATATATTTTGGTATTCACCTCACCATATTTTTCCACAGTGACTTCATATAATTTTAAAAATTTCATTTGTAAAATAAGATTATTTTCTGCATTTCTGCCACTTTATTCCTGTTAATAGAATTCAGTATTTTATGGTGATCAATTACTTTGTATATTCGATGAGCATCAACTGTCCTAGAATTGGCTGATTTTTATCAAGCAAGAAATACTCTCCTTGAAACTTTTAGTTTTTCTTGGTCTTTATGTATAAGCATGAACAAAATGATAATTAGCTTATGTAATCTAGAAATGGTCAAGGCAACTTTTAGTTCTATAGTTTTAAGATTTAACACCTTGGTCTGGCATTTTTAATGCCACATGTGTATAATTTTTATAAGCTTTAAAATATATAATTGTTATATAAAATTTGAAAACTACACCTTTTATGTAAAATTTGAAACTATTTGTCTATTACTTTTCCATGACTGTGGAAGAAAATTACAACATTCTCAGCCATGACTCTTAAGTATGATGTCCTTAAAAGAACTGTCTACACTCACGAACTCAAATTTTCTTTTCATTCACTCTTGATCTCATGCCAGTAAGTCTTCAATTTCAGCAGTCCTCCAGCATTGTTTTTCCTCAAGATTATCACTATTTTTTTTTTCTGTAATAAATCTAGGCCCTTTTCTTCCACCTCATTTTATTTAATCTGTCAGCAATATTTGAGCCAATGGAGGGCATCTCCTCCCTAACGGCATCTTCACTTGGCTTTCAGGACCTCACTCCCTCAGGCTTTTCCTCCTGCCTTTCTAGTCCATTCATCATGGTCTGTTTTGCTTGCTCCTCCTCATCTTTCTCCTTTTGGACATTGTTGTTTCCCAGGGCTCACTCCTCAGTCTTCTTTCTCGTGACTTTTTCTTTTTCTTTTTTGGAGACAGAGTTTCACTCTGCCTCCCAGGCTGGAGTTCAGTGGTGTGATCTCGGCTCACTACAACCTCTGCCTCCTGGGTTCAAGCAATTCTCCTGCTTCGGCCTCCTGAGTAGCTGGCATTACAGGTGCATGCCACCGTGCCCAGCTGATTTTTGTATTTTTAGTAGACACAGCATTTCCCCATGTTGGCCACCCTGGTCTCAAACTCCTGACCTCAGGGGATCTGTCTGCCTTGGTCTCACAAACTGTTGGGATTACAGGTGTAAGCCACTGCACCTGACCCCTCGTGACTTTTTCTACTGTGTATATGCTAGTGATTTCTGAATGTATGTCTCCAGCTCAGATCTTTCTCCTTAATTCCAGATTTCTATATCAGCCTGCCTACTTGACGTCTCTATTTGGTTAGTTATTGGGTATCACACACTTGTCAGATCCAAAATTGGGCTACTGATGTCCTTCCTGAAATCTGCACCTCATGTAGTCTTTCCTATTTTTGGTTAAGGGCAACTCTTCCAGTTGCTCTGCCAAATATCTCGGTGTCATTCTTGACTCATCTCTCTCTCTCTCTGACACCTCACATCTAATCTCTCAGTAAATCTTGTCAGGTCTACCTGAAGAATATGTCCAGAAGTCAGTCATATCTTGTACATCTGAGCCACCCTCATCTGCAGTCTAGATGAGTGTCATAGACTGGGAATTGATAGTCCTGGTTTTTAAAAACTTCCCTTTTCATCAATTCTTAACTCAGTGGATGTATTTAAAACATAAGTCAAATTGTGTCATTCCTCTGCCCCAGCCCTTCTGTTTATCTCCCATTTCACCCGGAGTATGTGTCAAAGTTCCTCCTAATTATCTCCCTTGCTCTGCTTCAGCCAAACTGATCTCTTGCCGTCCCTTATCTACCCCTAGTGCTTAAAGATGCCAGGCACACCTCTGTGATTCGCAGTTCCCTGTGTCTGGAATGCTTTTTCCCCAGTTATCCTCCTAGCTTTCTCTTTCCATTCCTTCAGTTCTTTATTTAAAACCCCCTTTCTAAGAAGAAGAGGAAAAAGGGTAAAAAGAAAGACATTAAGGAACAACCACTTTCTGAGGAAGAACAGCATGCTACCTAGACGCGTCATGCTTGAGGTTCAATTGGGTGCCTACCAGGGATGCTCTCTAACGTAATGAAGGGAAGGTTCAGTGAAACAAAGTGATTTAACATCTCTAACTTCAAACCCATTTGTATCTTGACATCAATGCCGTTAACCTTATGTCGTCATTTCTTAGAGTCTTTGATATACAAATAAAAGGTTTTTTGTATTAGAAAAAAAAATCCCCTTTCTCAGCAGGGACTTTTCTGACCACCCCAACTTTCCCACCACCCTCCCCATGAAACACATAAACATTTCATTTTCCTGCTTTAGTTTTTCTCCTCTAACATACTGTATATTTTGCCTTATCTGTCTGTTGTTATTGTGTGTTTTTCTCACTCTCATGAATGGGGTTTTTATTTTTCACTACCATATCCTCACTGCCTAGAAAAAGGCCTAGCATATTGGATGAAGCTACCTAATAAATACTTATTAAATGAGTGAATGGAGTTTATCCTGGATATATTGTTTGATTAATTCTCACTTTAAAAATGTTTGACATGGTTCATTCTAACAGTTTTGCCCAGTAATTACATGCATTTTAAAAATTGTTTTGGCTCTTTATAATAAGCTACATTCTTTATATTATTTTTTTATTTAGAGAGAAAAGCCCAATATTGTGGTTATTCACTATTTATTCTTTTACTAGTAAACATAATTGTAATTATGGTAAACTGAGTCAGAGGAATTGCAAACTTTACTAGTATTTTATTTTATTTTGAGATGGAGTCTTGCTGTATCCCCCAGGCTGGAGTTCAGTGGTATGATCTCAGTTCACTGCAACCTCCGCCTTCTGGTTCATGTATTTCTCCTCCCTCAGCCTTCCAAGGAGCTGGGATTACGGGGGCATGCCACCACGCCTGGCTAATATTTGTATTTTTAATAGAGATGGGGTTTCACCCTGTTGGTCAGGCTGGTCTCAAACTCTGTACCTCAGGTGATCCACCCACTTCGGCCTTTCAAAGTGCTGGGATTACAGGCATGAGCCACTGCGCCTGGCCACTAGTATTTTATTTAAAAAAAAAATTAGGGTGGCACATTTAATGGACTTACAAATTCTTTTCAAGGGATTATGAACCTTTGGTATTTGAAATAAAGATACAGAGTTGGAATTTTTTGCTTCCTATAGTAAGAGGAATACTGGTCAGGCACTGTCTATTCTGGTGGAGCAGGTGCTGCTGCGTGGCTGTATTTCAGAAGCAAGCTGCTCACATTGATATTGGTTGGTGAGCAAGAGCAGTGGTCATTGATTGATTGACTAGATTTCATACTGGCTTTTGGGTGGCTTGTTGTTACCATTGGTACAAGTCATTTCTTTCCTAAGTTAGAGTCAACTTTAACCGAAAATTTTCTGTATAAAAGTTGCCTTCAATTAACTATGTTCAAAATGAAAGTATTTTATATTCCAGAATTGTAGACTTCATTTTAAAATTTTGGTCAAGATGAATTGGTTAATAATAGCTCTCAGGAAGATCTGTTTTCTTTTTTTTAAATACATATTTCTCTGTATAATTTATTCGTTAAAATTAATTATTTTCTTTCTGTTTTTGGTATTTTTAGAAGCTTTTGCTTAAGTCCTAACATAATCTCCAGTAGGAGATTTTAGTCTCTTTGTCAGTTCATGTATGTATATGGTAGTGATACTCTCTTTTTAAATTCCTTTTCTCATTCACTTTCTTCTCAGTACAATAACAGTGATATTCTTATACATCTTTACCTCATTTAAAAGTAATTACAGTTTTCTGCTGGCAAATTCGGCTTTTTATATTTTGACTAAATACTAGGCTAAAATTGAAGAAAATTTACCAGGTCATTTTATTTTCAAACAAAATCATTACTAATAAAAATTGCTATTTTTGAAATATAAATAATGACATTTTGATATTTTAAAAGTAAGGATACACCCCCCCCAATAGTTTCGCTTTGTGTTTCCACCCAAATCTCATGTCAAATTGTAATTCCCAGGTGTTGAGAGAAAGACCAGCTGGGAGGTATTGGATCATGGGGTCGGTTTCCTCCATGCTGTTCTCTTGATAGTGAGTTCTCACAAGAGCAGATAATTCTATAATGGGCTCTTTCCCTTTCACTTCTCTCTCTCCTGCCACCTTTTGAAGAAGTTGCCTGCTTCCCCTTTACCTTCTGCCATGATTGTAAGTTTCCTGAGGCCTTCCCAGCCATGTGTAACTGTGAATCAATTAAGCCTCTTTCCTTTATGAATTACCCAGTCTCAGGTATACATACATACATACATATATATATATATATATATATATATATATATATATATATATATATAATTTTCTTTATTCCACTCATCAGTTGATGGACACTGGCTGATAACATATCTTTGCATATGTGAATTGTGCTGCAGTAAACATATGTATATAGGTGTCTTTTTGAGAGTATGATTTCTTTTATTTTGGGTAGGTATCCAGAAATGAGAATGCTGGATAGAATGGTAAGATCTACTTTAACAGAACTCTCCATAATGTTTTCCATAGATTTGTACTAATTTGTATCCCCACCAGCAGTGTATAAATCTTCTTTTTTCACCACATCCACACCAACATCTGCTGTTTTTCTTATTTTAGTAGTGACCATTCTGGCTGAAGTGAGGTGATATCTCACTGTTGTTTTATTGTACATTTCCCTGATGATTAGTAATATTTAGCATGTTTTTATATTCTTGTTCACCATTTGTACATCTTCTTTTGAAAAATGTCTATTCATGTCATGTGCCCACTTTTTAATGGAATTGTTTGTATTTTTCCTGCTGATTTGTTTGAGTTTCTGGTAGGTTATGGACATTAATCCTTTGTTAGATTCATAATTTGCCCATATTTTCCCCATTGTATAGGTGGTTGGCTCACTTTGATGATTATTTCTTTTGCTGTGCTGAAGCTTTTTAGTTTAATTAGGTCTTTATTTATTTATTTATTTATTTATTTATTTATTTTTATTTTTGTTGCTTTTGCTTTCAGGGTCCTCATCATAAATTATTTGCCTAGGCTAATGTCTTCTGGTCTTAGGTTTAGGCCATTAATCCATCTTGAATTAATTTTTTACATGGTGAGAGATAGAGATCCAATTTTATTCTTCTATATGTGACTATCTTTTTTTCCCAGCACCATTTGTTGAATAACGTGTACTTTCTCCAGTGTATGTTTTTGTATCCTTTCTCAGAGATCATTTGGTTGTAAGTGGCCTTTTTTCTGAGTTGTCTATTCTGTTCCATTGATCTGTGTATGTACTTTTATACCAGTACCATGATGTTTGTTACTGTGGCCTTAGAGTTGAAGTCAGGTAATTTGATGCCAACATGTTTGTTCCTTTTTCTTGGTATGTCTGTTGCTATTCAGGCTCTTTTGTGGTTCTACATGAATGACAGCTTTTTAAAATAACTCTGTGAAGAATGACATTGGTACTTTGGTAGAAACTGTATTGACTCTGTAGACTACTTTGGGCACTATGGCATTTTCACAATATCAATGCTTTCAGTCCAGGAACATAGAATGTATGTTCATTTATTTGTATGATCTATGATTTTCTTCAGTGGCGTTTTCCAGTTATCCTTTGATAGATCACTCACCTCCTTCATTAAGTATATTCCTAGGTATTTTACTATTTTGCAGCCATTGTAAAAAGGATTGGATTCTTGATATGACTCTCAGCTTGGTTGTAGTTGGTGTATAGTGGTACTATTCATTGGTATTTGTATATTTTGTAACCTCTGAGACTTTACTAAATTCATTTATCAAATCTAGGAGTGTTTTGTAGGAGTCTGTAGGGTTTTCTAGGCATAAGATCATATCATTGGTGAAGAGAGAGTTTGACTTTCTCTTTTCCAATTTGGATGCCCTTTATTTCTCTTGCCCAATTGCTCTGCCTAGGGCTTCCCAGTTTTCTTCTTAATATGCATGAAATAAAAGTGAAATTGAAAGCGATTAATGATCAGTTTATTTCACATCTCTCTCTCATACACAGATAAAATTAATTCAAAGTTCTATGTTAAAAACACAATATTAGACCCTGTCTTGTTCCAAAGGGAATTTCTAATTTGTCTATAAATTACAGAGGAATCAAGAATATAAGTGGAAACTGTTTCCAAAAAATAAACGTAAAAAGTTTGAGTTAACACAGGGGTTTCCAATCCCCAGGCCACAGACCAGTACCAGTCCCTGGCCTGTTAGGACCTGGGCCACACAGCAAGAAGTTAGTGGTAGATGAGCAAGTGAAGCTTCATCTGTTTACAGCCACTCTCTGTCACATTACCACCTGAGCTCCTCCTCCTGTCAGATCAGCGGTGACATTAGATTCTCATAAGAGTGTGACTTGAACCCTATTGCAAGCTGCTCATGCATGGGATCTAGGTTGTTCACTCCTGATGAGAATCTAATGCTTTATGATCTGTCACCATCTCCTGTCACCCCTAGATGAGACCATCTAGTTGCAGGAAAATAAGCTGAGGGCTCCCACTGATTCTACATGATGGTGAGTTATATAATTATTTCATTATATATTAGTAATAATAGAAATGAAGTGCACAATGTATGTAATGTGCTTGAATCATCCTGGAACCATCCCCCACCTCAGGTCCATGGAAAAATTATCTTCCACAAAACTAGTCCCTGGTGCCAACATGACTGGGAGAGCAGGGTTAACAGATGTGAGGCCCCTTTGCCTTGTCTTGGATTAATGTGCAGATATACATTGTGTGAATGACATCTGATGGTGCCATCTTGCCCTGTAGATCATTTTAGGGACACCTCCAGTATTTCATGAAAATTAAAATTTCTTCTAGTGACGAACAAAATGATACCCAGAAACAACTTTCTGAAGAACAGAACACTGGAATATCACAAGATGAGATTCTGACTAATAAACAAAAGCAGATAGAAGTGGCTGAAAAGGAAATGAATTCTGAGGTATTTTCTTTAGTCATTATCAAATGTTTTCATATGTGTATATATTTTTAAAAAGCTTTATTTTGGAAGGTATAAAGGATTTTTAAATCATATATATACACACGTGTGTGTGTGTGTGTGTGTGTATATACACACACACACACACACACACACCCTGTATATCCTTGGTCATATATCTATATATGTACACATAGGATAAAGCCATGTTCTTAATTCAACTGCATTTGCCTGCAACAGTCGAGTAGTGACCTTCACAATGGCCTCAATCCAAAGGAAAAGCATTTGATATTTTTCATAAGAATTGATTATCTTTCCAATATCAAAAATAAGTTTTGCTACTAACAACAGATTTGCTAGTTTTGGGACATTAGTTCTTTTTAAAATATTAATAGAGAAGTCAGTTTGTTATTTTCACTAATAGGAAAGTAGGAAATGTACAGCTGGGTCAGAGGCCACATTGTGGATGTCATTATCCTTGCTTTTGAGGAGAGGAACAGTTTGCTCCGAGTAGTTTCTCAATTCAATGCAAAGAGCTTTGAAAACAATGACATGCCATGATACACATTTAGTGATAATTTATTGATAAGTATTTTGTTCCCAGATGAATAGTTCAGTACGTTTCCCGTATTTCACACTTACTACTATAATGTTTCAAACATTATGAAGAGGAAAGAAAAGTTATTGCAATGGCAAATAATCTCATGATTTCTAAGAAAAGCCTTGTAAGTTATATCTTATTTACCATCTGTATTTTGAAATAAAAGGCTTCTTTTGTATTTATATATTTACACCACAGAAGCAACTGATTTTGTGGAGGATCACTAACAGTAGCATCAGAAGACCTGGCAAAAATCTTGCACGTTGCATATATATATGTGTGTGTGTGTGTGTGTGTGTGTGTGTATTCTAGATGGAGTCTTGCACTGTCACCCACGCTGGAGTGCAATGGCACAAACTCAGTTCACTGCAACCTCTGCCTCCCAGGTTCACACGATTCTCCTGCCTCAGCCTCCTGAAGTGCTGGGATTACAGGTGTGAGCCACTGGTCCTGGCTGCATATATTTTTTGATCTCTCCTTTTAAGAATCGTGATCTTAAATGAGTTGAGTGTTGTATGTAGAAGTGCAATGCTTAGATGCCGGTGTGTACATTGTAGAAGGGTACAATGCTTAGATTTAACAGTTATGAATAAATGTAATTCTTATAACTGACTGTAAAAATATTAGAAAAGCAGTATATTGATAAAACATTCCTCAGAAAAAGGAACTTAAAGAACTTTGAGGAATTGCTTCTGTCCTAATATATGCATAGCTAAGGCTCTTATGATGGTGTGGTTTGTAGGTTAGATATCAGAGTGTAAACCCAATTTAAAAAATGTAGCCAAATGTATTAATCTTCTATTTTATGCCTCTGGGTTTTTTGTAATTCAGAGAAAGGCTTTTCCAATTCTGAAATTCTTAAAAATCCTCTAGTGATTTATTTTTCATGGTCTTTAGATAAATATTTCAACTTTTTGGAATTTACACTCTTCTAGATTTGAAGTTTTGTCCAACTTTTTTCCAGTTAAATATCCACTATGGGAATTATTTCATTATAGAAATATAAATGTCATTCTTTGATTTTAGAAGAAATCATGATATGTCATTCTATTGAGTGCTAACTAAAAGTTCCCTTTGTTTACTTAGCTTTCTCTTAGTCATAAGAAAGAAGAAGATCTCTTGCGTGAAAACAGCATGTTGCGGGAAGAAATTGCCATGCTAAGACTGGAACTAGATGAAACAAAACATCAGAACCAGCTAAGGGAAAATAAAATTTTGGAGGAAATTGAAAGTGTAAAAGAAAAACTTCTAAAGGCTATACAACTGAATGAAGAAGCATTAACGAAAACCAGTATTTAAGTACAGTGGACAGCTTAGGATTTTGACAACTGAGAATGCTCAGTTCTGAACTGGAGAATGTAAGACACAGCTAGGAAACACTGGAAATGGAAATTCAATCATGTCATTGTAGACTGACTACTGCTCTACATGATTGTGATCAAAGTCAGATAGCTGAAAGGGACTTCTTTCCAGAGAGCAAACATCAACAGGTTTATTTACAGGAGAAAATGAATTCTTATATATCTCACCTAAAAGATAACAGTGAGATTCTTTCTGAACAACTCTAACGCTGACAGTAAAATTAACAACCTAAAAATTAAGCTCCATCACACAGGATAAATTCTGAGAGAAAAGATGAGGCAGGCCACCATCTTTCCTGTTTGGGCAACTTAGTCATTCCAGCGTGCGGGCTTTGGAGAGTACAAACTCACCAGGGACAGAAGAGATCCTGTGGCATAGCACAGCTGCTTTACCAAATCATGGCCAGAATGCTTCTGTAAGCAGGCCCCTGATCCTGTTCCTCATCACTGGACAGGATCTCCCACCTGAGGCCTCCAGCTACACCCACCAGTGTTCCCTGGCCAATGGAGATTTGAAACCTTCCTGGGACAGAGTTCCCAGAGAGAGGGGTGGGCCATGATGGGCAGGTCTTCCTGGCCTGGGTCTCCAGCCAGCCCCCCACTTGAGCCTTCAAGCCAGTAGCAACTCAGCAACTCCCTGGACAGAGCTTCCAGGAGCAACAGAAATCCTCTCTGCCACTGCCTCTGCAGTGGAACTGCCCTTGCTACCCTCAGAATATCAAGGGAGCAAAGACCCTAAGTGCCATATTGACACCTCCAACAAGCTGCAGTTGACACAAGGAACAAGTCAGTCCACCTTCCACGGGTACAACACACTCCTTACTGCTCATCACCAGACAAGGAACCCTGGCTTGGGCCCACAGCACAGACCCTCCATCCTGGGGTGATTACATTAAGTAACTCCTAACTTACACCTCTCTGGGGTGTAGCCCCCAGGAGACAAGGAAAGTGGTGGAGCAGCAAGTCAGCTGATGTGGAGCCCGGAGGGCAGGGACATCTATGTCTCTAGGCTCCACTTGCTCTTATGAGACACTTTATCCCAGCACTTAAGGAGTGCTGAGGTCAGACCAGCCCCATCTCACGTGCAAGATTGCCCAGCACAGATCAGGTCTAAGAGTTCTCTTCCTAAAAAGGGGGACTTGCTTAAAAAAGAAGTCTGGCCGCGTTTGTGTAGAGCAGTTGTGCTGTGCTGAGGATTCACTTTTGAGAGAGTTCTCCTCTGAGACCTGATCTCTGCTGGGCAGTCTTGCACATGAGATGGGGCTGGTCTGACCTCAGCACCCCTTAGTCTGCTTGCCTCTCCCAGGACCCCAGCCAGGCCACACCTGCTTAGAGGGCACTTCTGGGTGCCCACACCATAGCTTCTGTACAAGCGGACCGTGGCTGATCAGTGGAGAGCTGCAGCAAGGTGACCTCTACAGCCACGTACCAGCCTACACATTACCTCTCCATACTGCAGCCCTTTATATGGAAACTTCCTACATCACTTAGCTGTGTGTGTTTACACAGGTGGGTTTTGTTGTACTTGCCCTAACAGCATATGGGAATGCAGCACACACCCCAACCCACACCAACTGCCACTGAAGATGAAGCCATGGTGGGCACAGAACCAAAAACCCCACCCCTGCTAGCATCTCACCCTTGAGGTAATGCTGTGCAGAGGAAAAGGGACCTTCTTATACCCTGAGTGACCACTGTTGCTTGGGGGGGATCAGAGAAGGCACCTTCACTGGCCAGCCACCCACCCCAAACCAGAACTACCTCCAGTGCAACAGCACACACAGTCAGCAGGGGCCCCCTGGCCCACACCCCAGCTGTTTTGCCTCCACCACTAGGTGAATGCCCACAGGGAGGCAGGGACTTTTGCATCTGCTAGCATTCTGCCACAGCTGCCGCACTTTGGTCCCCTCAGTGCGGTGGACTCCAAACCTCGAGGAGCCAGAGAACAAAGTTGTGGCCCAATACAAGTTCCCCAGAGTTAAAGCACACAGTCCAAGAATTGGGAGCTGCATGTTGGCCCCTTAAAATCCTCCAAAGACAAAACCTGTTGGCTGAATCCACCTTACACCACAATCAAATCCTCAAGGTCATCAGATATAATAAAGGAAAAATACCCTGTCCAAAGGTCAGCAGCCTCAAAGATTGAAGGTGGATAAGCCCATAAAGATGAGAAAAAGACTCTGTGCAAGAACACTGAAAACTCAAAAATTCAGCATGCTTTCTTTTCTCCAAATGACTGCATCAACTCTCCAGCAAGTGTTCAGAACTGGGCTGAGGCTGAGATGTCTGAAATGATACAAGCAGAGTTCAGGATATGGGTAGGAACAAAGTTCCCTGAGTGAAAGAAGTATGTTGTAATCCAATACAAGGAAGCTAAAAATCATTGTAAAACATTGCAGGAACTAACAGACAAAATAGCAAGTATAAAGAAGAAAATAACTGACCTGACAGAGCTGTAAATCACACTAGAAGAATTTTCATAATGCAGTCACATGGTGATTGTGTGTGATTGCATTATGAAAATTATTGTAGTATGTGTGGGCACATGAGAGTGCCCTGTAAGCAGATGTGGCCAGGCTGGGGTCCTGGGAGAGGCAAGCAGACTAGGGAGGGCTGAGGTCAGACCAGCTCCATCTCATGTGCAAGACCATCCAACAGAATAGACCAAGAAGAGGAAAGAATCCCAGAGCCTGGAAACTGGCTTTCTGAAATAAAACAGGCAAACAAGAATGGGGGAAAAAAGAATGAAAGGGAATGAAGAAAACATCCGAGAAATATGGGATTATATAAACGACTAAATCTATGACTGATTAATGTACCTGAAGGAGATGAGGAGAATGGAACCAACTTGGAAAACACATTTCAGAATATCATTCATGAGAATGTCCCCAACCTAGCCAGACAGGCCAACACTCAACTTCAGGAAATCCAGAGAACCTCAGTAAGATATGCCATGAGAAGATCATCCCCAAGACACATAATCATCAGATTCTCTGCGGTCAAAATAAAAGAAAAAGTGTTAAAGGCAGCTAGGGAGAAAGGCAACATCACCTGCAAAGGGAATTCCATCAGACTTAGCAGACCTCTCAACTGAAACTGTACAAGCCAGAAAAGATATTCAACATCTTAAAGAAAAGAAATTTCAACCCAGAATTTCATGTCCAGCAAAATTAAGCATCATAAGTGAAGGAGAAACAAGATCCTTTTCAGACAAGCAAATGCTGAGGGAATTCATTATCACCAGACCTACCTTACAAGAGCTCCTGAAGGAAGCACTAAATATGGAAAGAAAAGACCACCACCAGCCACTACAAAAACACACTGAAGTACACAGACAAGTGATGCTAAAAACCAACCACATACATAAGTCTGCAAAAAAGCCAGCTGACAGCATGACGACAGGATCAAATCCACACATACCATTACTAACCTTAAATGGAAATGGGCTAAATGCTCCAATTGAAAGACACAGGGGGCAAGCTGGATAAAGAACCAAGACCCATTGGAGTATGCCGTCTTCAAGAAACCCATCTCACATGCAGTGCCCTACATAGGCTCAAAATAAAGGAATGGAGAAAAATATTTCAAGGAAATGGAAAATAGAAAAAAGCAGGTGTTGCACTCCTAGTTTCTGACAAAGCAGACTATACCAATAAAGATTAAAAAAAAAAAAAAAGACAGAGGGCTGGGCGCGGTGGTTCACGCCTGTAATCCCAGCACTTTCGGAGGCTGAGACAGATGGATCACAAGGTCAGGAGATCGAGACCATCCTGGCTAACACGGTGAAACCCCGTCTCTACGAAAAATACAAAAAATTAGCTGGGCATGGTGGCGGGTGCCTGTAGTCCCAGCTACTTGGGAGGCTGAGGCAGGAGAATGGTGTGAACCTGGGAAGTGGAGCTTGCAGTGAGCCAAGATCGTGCCACTGCACTGCAGCCCAGGCGAGACAGTGAGACTCCGTCTCAAAAAAAAAAAAAAAAAAAAAAAAAAGAGAGAAGGAGATTACAAAGGTGGTCCTGACCTTTGATAAATCTCATTATTGCTTGATACCAACCTGGGCTATCTTTATTGCCCAAACCAATAGGATAATGTGCTGAGGTTAGGGAGCTTCTCCCCTGCAGAGAATCCCTGATCTCCCAAAATTTGGTTGAGATCTAAGGTTGATTTTGCTATACAACTCCTTTTCTGAAGTTTTACTTATTTCCAACAAGGCAAGTTTTCCTGCTTCCGTGATGATGGAGAGCAGGCACCTCCTTTCTTGAGTTTCAGCTTGCTTCTGACAGGGAAGGTGAGTGTAAGTTTTTTCCAGCTTCTAAGATGGCAGAGAACAATCACCAGCCTGAGACTTATTTCCAGGTAAGTAGCTGAATTAGAGTTTTGTCTTAAAATTTTTCCTTAATGACTAAAATTTAAGATTACTCACCAGCTGCTTTTAATTTCTCGTTACCATTAGAACACTCAGTAATCATATGAATTGTGCATTTGTTTGTTTTGCTTAACTCTTTTTGTTTGTTTATGTTTGGGGTTTTGTTGTTGTTGTTTCACTTTTCTCCCATCTCTTCCTGACTTGGTCAAATCCAAAGAATGCTCCAAATTGTGGGGAACAAGGCTTCTGAATTGGCTAAAACTCATGTGGCTGCAAAAAAAAAAAAAAAAAATTCCAGTTAGCAGAAATGATTTTTTTAACTTTTTTATTTTTATTTTTTGCATAAGTGGTTGCATCTTTTGCTAGCCAAGGCCAAACTGAGGGAGTAGTGGTGGCGACCCAAAGTTAAGATTCTGCCCTGTTCACTACAGAAACCTGAGTTTGGTTCCTAAGTCTAGTTCTTTCTGTTTGATATTTGTGTTACTTTTAAAATATCAGCAGTTTGTCCCAGCTATGATGTGGTAGTAAAAGATTCAGAAGTATTTTCTTTACAAGTTCTATGTTGAAAAGCTTAATTAAAAGCAAATTTATTTTTTTTTAATTATACTTTAAGTTCTGGGGTACATGTGCAGAACATGCAGGTTTGTTACATACGTATACACATGCTATGGTGGCTTGCTGCATGCACCAACCCATGATCTAATGCCATCCCTTTTCTAGCCCCCCACCCTGACAGGCCCTTGTGTGTGATGTTTCCCTTCCTGTGTCCATGTGTTCTCATTGTTCAGGTCCTACTTATGAGTGAGATCATGTGGTGTTTGGTTTTCTCTTCTTGTGTTAGTTTGCTGAGAATGACAGTTTCCAGCTTCATCCATGTCCCTGCAAAGGATATGAACTCATCCTTTTTTATGACTGCATAGTATTCCATGGTGTATATATGCCACATTTTCTTTATCCAGTCTATCATTGGTGGGCATTTGGGTTGGTTCCAAGTCTTTCCTGTTGTGAACACTGCCGCAATAAGCATACGTGTGCATGTGTCTTTATATTGGAATGATTTATATTTTTTTGAGTATATACACTGTAATGGGATTGCTGGGTCAAATGGTATTTCTAGTTGTAGATCATTGAGGAATCATCACACTGTCTTCCACGATGGTTGAACTGATTTATACTCCCACCAACAGTGTAAAAGCATTCCTATTTCTCCACATCCTCTCCAGCTTCTGTTGTTTCCTGATTTTTTAATGATGGCCATTCCAAGTGGCGTAAGATTGTATCTCATTATGGTTTTGAATTCCATTTCTCTAATGACCAGTGCTTTGCTTCACATGTTCATTGGCTGCATAAATGTCTCCTTTGGGAAGTGTCTGTTCATATCCTTTGCCCACTTTTTGATGGGGTTGTTTGTTTTTTTCTTGTAAATTTGTTTAAGTTTTTATAGATTCTGCATATTAGCCCTTTGTCAGATGGATAGATTGCAACAATTTTCTCCCTTTCTGAGGGTTGCCTGTTCACTCTGATGATAGTTTCTTTTGCTGTGCAGACACTCTTTAGTTTAATTAGATCCCATTTGTCAATTTTGGCTTTTGTTGCCATCGCTTTTGGTGTTCTAGTGATGAAGTCTTCGCCTATGCCTATGTCCTGAATGGTATTGCCTAACACAAGGACATTTCTGTGCCTGAATGCCATATCTCCCAAAGTAATTTATAGAATCAGTGCTATCTCCATGAAGCTACCATTGACTTTCTTCCCACAATTAGAAACACTACTTTAAATTTCATATGGAGCCAAAAAAGAGCTCGCGTAGCCAAGACAATCTAAGCAAAAACAATAAAGCTGGAGGCATCACGGTACCTGACTTCAAACTATTCTACAAGGCTACAGTAACCAAAACAGCATGGTACTGGTACCAAACCAGATATATAGACAAATGGAACAGAACAGAGGCCTCAGAAATGACACAACACATCTAAAACCATCTGATCTTTGACAAACCTGACAAAAACAAGCAATGGGGAAAGGATTCCTTATTCAATAAATGGTGTTAGGAAAACTGGCTAGCCATACGCAGAAAACTGAAACTGGGCCACTTCCTTACACTTTATACAAAAATTAACTTACGATGGATTGAAGAGTTAAACTTAAGACCTAAAACCATAGAAAACCTAGAAGAAAACCTAGGCCACCAAACTCAGGAGAAATGTACTTGTAGTGCAATGCATGGTACAAACACACATTCCCTGCTTCCTTAAGTGGGTGAGGTTGGTGGCTGGTCCACCTGCTCCAGGTGGATCCTTGCAGAGGTGGCTGGTTGCTCTTTGAGCCAGCTTGGCCTTGCCTGGCATTCACAAGCCTCAGTGCAACAACTGTGCTACAAATGGAGCCACACAGAAAATGACCAGCAGGCTCAGGAGCAGGGTGTACACTGCCTTTGGGGCTCCAGTCCATGCCTCAGGGCTCATAAGGCACCGTGGGCTTCTTGGTTGCCAAGAGGCAGATCACAGGCCATCTTGTGGAGGACTTTATGTTCAAGTGCAGAAAGCAGCCAGGATTACAACCTAGGGGACTCAGCCTTTTGTGACCCTGGCCAGACTTAGAATTTGGCCCCAGGCATGACACGCTCACTCAGAGTAGCGTGTCAGTACCTGGGGCCTGTGCATGCCAGGCAAAGCCAAGCTGGCTCAAAGAGCAACCAGCCACCTCTGCAAGGGTGTGCCTAGAGCAGTTGGACCAGCCACCAATCTCACCCCCTCAACAAAGCCGGGATGGCCAGGTTCCCACAGCCTGAGTGGCTGCCACCTGATGGCTGATGGAGCAGAGGCCTGAGGAAAAGCAGATGGCACTGGGGCCCTACCTTTAGGGTAGAATAACTGAGGTACCATGTCTGGCAGCAAGTGAGGTTGGTGGCTGGTCCACATGCTCCAGGTGCACCCTTGCAGAGGTGGCTGGTTGCTCTTTGAGCCAGCTTGGCCTTGCCCAGCATGCACAAGTCTCAGTGCAACAACTGTTCTACAAATGGAACCACACAGAGGACATTAGAGGCAGGCTCAGGAGCAGGGTGTACACTGCCTTTGGTGCTCCAGTCCATGGCTCAGGGCTCATATGTCACTGCGGGCTTCTTGGTTGCCAAGAGGCAGACCACAGGCTGTCTTGAGGAGGACTTTATGTTCGAGTATAGAAAGCAGCAGGATTACCACCCAGGGGACTTGGCGTTCTGTGGCCCTGACCAGACTTAGAATTTGGGCCAAGGCAGGACAAGCTCACTCACAGCAGCATGTCAGTAGCTGGAGACTATGCATGCCAGGCAAGGCCAAGCTGACTCAAATAGGAACCAGTCACCTCTGCAAGGGTGCACCTGGGACATGTGGAGCAGCCACCAACCTCAGCTACTCAAGGAAGTAGGGATGGCCAAGTTCCCACAGCCTGAATGGCTGCCTCCTGATGGCTGATGGAGCAAAGGCCTGAGGAAAAGCGGATGGCACTGGGGCCCTACCTCTAGGGTAGAAGAACTGATGTGCCCTGACCTGCAACAAGTGAGTTTGGTGGCTGCTCCACCGGCTCCTGGCACACGCTTGCAGAGGTGGCTGGTTGCTCTTTGAGCCAGCTTGGCCTTGCCTGGCATACACAAGCCTCAGTGCAACATCTGTGCTAGGTATGGAGTCACAGAGAGGAAATGAGCAGCAGGCTCAGGAGCAGGGTGTGTGCTGCCTTTGGGGCTCCAGTCCATGCCTCAGGGCTCGTGTGGCACTGCGGGCTTCTTCGTTGCAAAGAGGCAGACCACAGGCCATCCTGAGGAGGACTTGATATTCAAGTGCAGAAAGTAGGCAGGATTACCACCCAGGGGACTCTGCCCTGGACAGAGATAAAATTTGGGCCAAAGCAGAACAAGCTCACTCAGAGCAGCATGTCGGTAGCTGGGGCCTGTGTATGCCAGGCAAGGCCAAGCTGGCTCAAAGAGCAACCAGCCACCTCTGCAAGGGTGCACCTGGAGCAGGTGGAGCAGCCACCAACCTCACCCACTCAAGGAAGTAGGGATGGCCAGGTTCCCACAGCCTGCATGGCTGCATCCTGATGGCTGATGGAGCAGAGGCCTGAGGAAAAGCAGATGGCATTGGGGCTCTACCTCTTGGGTAGAAGAAGTGATGTACACCGACCAGCTGTGAGTGAGGTTGGTGGCTGGTCCACCTGCTCCTGGCACACCCTTGCAGAGGTGGCTGGTTTCTCTTTGCGCCAGCTTGGCCTTGCCCAGCATGCACAAGCCTCAGTGCAACAGCTGTGCTACAAATGGAGCCACACAGAGAAAACAGAGCAGCAGGCTCAGGAGCAGGGTGTGTGCTGCATTTGGGGCTCCAGTCAATGCCTCCGGGCTAGTATGGCTCTGTGGGCTTCTTGGTTGCAAAGAGGCAGACCACAGGCCATCTTGAGGAGGACTTTATGTTCAAGTGCAGAAAGCAGCCAGGATTACCACCCAGGGGACTCTGCCTTCTGTGGCCCTGACCGGACTTAGAATTTGGCCTAACTCAGGACAAGCACACTCAGAGCAGCGTGTCAGTAGCTGGAGCCTGTGCATGAAAGGCATGGCCAAGCTGTCTCAAAGAGCAACAAGCCACCTCTGCAAGGGTGCTCCAGGAGCAGGTGGAGCAGCCACCAACATCACCCACTCAAGGAAGCAGGGATGGCCAGATTCCAACAACCTGAGTGGCTGCCTCCTGATGGCTGATGGAGCAGAGGCCTGAGGAAAAGCAGATGGCACTGGGACCCTACATCTAGGGTAGAAGAAGTGATGTACCCTGACCGGCAGTGAGTGAGGTTGGTGGCTGGTCCATCTGCTCCTGGCACACCCTTGCAGAGGTGGCTGGTTACTCTTCGAGCCAGCTTGGCCTTGCCTGGCATGCACAAGCCTCAGTGCGACAACTGTGCTACATATGGAGCCACATAGAGGAAACGAGCAGCAGGCTCAGGAGCAGGGTGTGCGCTGCCTTTGGGGCTCCAGTCCATGCCTCAGGGCTCGTGTGGCACTGTGGGCTTCTTCGTTGCCAAGATGCAGACCACAGGCCATCTTGAGGAGGACTTTATGTTCAAATGCAGAAAGCAGCCAGTATTACCACCCAGGGGCTCTGCCTTCTGTGGCCCTGGCCAGACTTAGAATTTGGCCCCAGGCAGGGCAAGCTCACTCGGAGCAGTGTATCAGTAGCTGGGTCCTGTGCATGCCAGGCAAGGCCAAGGTGGCTCGAAGAGCAACCAGCCACCTCTGCAAGGGTGCACCTGGAGCAGGTGGAGCAGCCACCAACCTCACCCACTCAAGGAAGTAGGGATGGCCAGGTTCCCACAGCCTGCATGTCTGCGTCCTGATGGCTGATGGAGCAGAGGCCTGAGGAAAAGCAGATGGCACTGGGGCTCTACCTCTTGGGTAGAAGAAGTGATGTACACCGACCAGCTGTGAGCGAGGTTGGTGGCTGGTCCTCCTGCTCCTGGCACACCCTTGCAGAGGTGGCTGGTTTCTCTTTGCGCCAGCTTGGCCTTGCCCAGCATGCACAAGCCTCAGTACAACAACTGTGCTACAAATGGGGCCACACAGAGAAAACAGAGCAGCAGGCTCAGGAGCAGGGTGTGTGCTGCATTTGGGGCTCCAGTCAATGCCTCCGGGCTAGTATGGCTCTGTGGGCTTCTTGGTTGCAAAGAGGCAGACCACAGGCCATCTTGAGGAGGACTTTATGTTCAAGTGCAGAAAGCAGCCAGGATTACCACCCAGGGGACTCTGCCTTCTGTGGCCCTGACCGGACTTAGAATTTTGCCTAATGCAGGACAAGCTCACTCAGAGCAGCGTATCGGTAGCTGGAGCCTGTGCATGCCAGGCAAGGCCAAGCTGTCTCAAAGAGCAACCAGCCACCTCTGCAAGGGTGTGCCTGGAGCAGATGTAGCAGCCATCAAACTGACCCACACAAGGAAGCATGGATGGCCAGGTTCCAACAGTCTGAGTGGCTGCCACCTGGAGACTGATGGAGCAGAGGCCTGAGGAAAAGCAGATGGCACTGGGGCCCGACCTCTATGGGAGAAGAACTGATGTGCCCCAACCGGCAGCGAGTGAGTTTAGTGTCTGCTCCACCGGCTCCTGGCACACCCTTGCAGAGGTGGCTGGTTCCTCTTTGAGCCAGCTTGGCTTCGCTCGGCATGCACAAGCCTCAGTGCAACAACTGTGCTACAAATGGAGCCACAGAGAGGAAATGAGCAGCAGGATCAGGAGCACGGTGTGCACTGCCTTTGGGGCTCCAGTCCATGCCTCAGGGCTCATATGGCACTGCGGGCTTCTTCATTGCCAAGGGGCAGACCACAGGTCGTCTGGAGGAGGACTTTGTGTTCAAATGCAGAAAGCAGCCAGCATTACCACCCAGGGGACTCTGCCTTCTGTGGACCTGACCAGACTTAGAATTTGGGCCAAGGCAGGACAAGCTCACTCAGAGGAGCATGTCAGTAGCTGGGGCCTCTGCATGCCAGGCAAGGCCAAGCTGGCTCAAAGAGCAACCAGCCACCTTTGCAGGGGTGCACCGGGAGCAGGTAGAGCAGCCACCAACCTCTGCTACTCAAGGAAGCAAGGATAGGCAGGTTCCCACAGCCTGTGTGGCTGCCACCTGATGGCTGATGGAGCAGAGGCCTCAGAAAAAGCAGATGGCACTGGGGCCCTACCTCTAGGGTAGAAGAACTGATGTGCCATGTCTGGCAGGCAGTGAGTGAGGTTGGTGGCTGGTCTACCTGCTCCTGGCACACCCTTGCAGAAGTGGCTGGTTCCTCTTTGAGCCAGCTTGTCCTTGCCCAGCATGCACAAGCCTCAGTACAACAACTGTGCTACAAATGGAGCCACACAGAGGAAATGAGCAGCAGGCTCAGGAGCAGGGTGTTCACTGCCTTTGGGGCTCTAGTCCATGCCTCCGAGCTTATATGGCACTGCAGGCTTCTTGGTTGCCAAGAGGCAGACCACAGGCCGTCTTGAGGAGGACTTTATGTTCAAGTGCAGAAAAAAGTCAGGATTACCACCCAGGGGACTTGCCCTTCTGTGGCCCTGGCCAGACTTAGAATTTGGCCCCAGGCAGGACAAGCTCACTCAGAGCAGCTTGTCAGTAGCTGGGGCCTGTGCATGCCAGGCAAAGCCAAGCTGGCTCAAAGAGCAAGCAGCCACCTCTGCAAGCATGCTCCTGGTGCAGTTGGACCAGCCTTTAATCTCACCCACTCAAAGAAGCATGGATGGCCAGGTTCCAACAGCCTGAATGGCTGCCACCTGATGGCTGATGGAGCAGAGTCCTGAGGAAAAGCAGATGGCACTGCTTTGTAATGCCCTTTGTCTCTTTTGATCTTTTCCATTTAAAGTCTGTTTTATCGGAGACTAGGATTGCAACCCCTGCTTTTTTTTTTTTTTTTTTTTTTTTTTGCTTTTCATTTGCTTGGTAAATATTCCTCCGTCCCTTTATTTTGAGCCTGTGTGTGTCTTTGCATGTGAGATGGGTCTCCTGAATACAGCACACCAATGGGTCTTGAGTCTTTTTCCAACTTGCCAGTCTGTGTCTTTTTACTGGGGCATTTAGCCCAGTTACATTTAAGGTTAATATTGTTACATGTGAAATTTATCCTGTCATGATGTTGTTAGCTGTTTATTTTTCCCATTAGTTAATGCAGTTTCTTTATAGTGTCGATGGTCGTTACAATTTGGTATGTTTTCCCAGTGGCTCATACTGTTTGTCCCTTTCCATGTTTAGTGCTTCCTTCAGGAGCTCTTGTAAGGCAAGAATGTGGATTTATTTCTTGTAAGGCAAATATGTGGATTTATATCTGGGTGCTGTATTCTATGGCCTCTACCCCAAGAGTCATTACTTTTAAAAATGCAATTCAAATTAGCATAAAACATTTACAGCCTAGGGAAAGGCTTATGGCATTAGAATCCTTATTTATAGGATTATTTTGTGTTTTTTTGAGATATGGTCTCTGTCTGTCATCCAGGCAGAAGTGGAGTGGCTTGGTCATAATTCACTGCAGCCATGAACTCTGAGTCCAAGCCATCCTTGTGCCTTAGTCTCCCAACTAGTTGGATCTACAAGCATAAGTCACCATGCCTGGTTAATTTTAAATAAAATTTTTTGTCGAGATTATGTTATCACTATGTTGCTCTGGCTGGTTTCAAATTCCTGGCCTCAAGTAATCTTTCTGCCACAGCCTCCTATAGTGCTGGGATTACAGGCATGAGCCACCATGCCTAGCATAGAGTATTACATTATTTTCAAAGTCTTATTCTAAGAGCCATTTATTGACTTTGGCCTAAATAACTCAATATTATATCTCTGAAACTTTTTTTGACAAATTTTGGGGCACGATGATGAGAGAAAGGGGTTTGAAACTTTCTAATAAGAGTTAACATAGAGCCATTTAAGGAGGAAAAAACACAAATTATCAGAAAAGTAAAAGAAAGATCAAGTGCAAAAGTTCTGTGGCAAAGATGATAGTAAAGAATATATGTGACTTATGGTGGCTTTTACTTTGTTCTTGAATTTCTGAGTAATTTAAGGGTTAACATTTAAAGAATCTACATTATAGATAACATTTTATTGCAAGTAAATGTATTTCAAAATTTGTTACTGGTTTTGTATGAGATTATTCTCAGCCTACTTCATTTTCAAGTTATATTATTTTATTAATGTAGTTTGATGATCTTACAGCAGAGCTGGAAGCTGTATCTTCAAAATATGTCTGTTTGACTCAAAACAATCAAGGTATTCAACAGGAGTTATTATGTATGAAAAAATACAACAGGAATGTAAAAATCTTGAGGAGGCTAAAAAGATGTTGGAAAAAGTAATATTAAATCTTAAAAAACGTATGGAAAGTACACATTGGTGAAGACACATTGGTGAAGTACAAAAATATAAATTGGATCTAGAAGAAAGGGCAATGCAGGCAATGGAAAAATTAGTACAAATCCCTTTACAGGTTAGTTTGTAAAATCAGGTAAGTTTATTTATAATGTGCTTTCACTTATTTCACTGCAATGGCTCTCTTATAGTAATTTGCCTTGTAGAGTTCTAGCAAAGAGGTGGCATCTGTTTTTACTTTTATATGTTTAAATTTCTATCATTATAACAAAATCGATTTTTCACAGTAATGATTCTCAGTGTGGAGTCATTTGATTATTAAGACCCATTGACATGAGATTACATCCTCTGCCTATAAAAATCCTGGAAGAAAACCTAGGAAATATTCACCTGGACATTGCACTTGGCAATGAATTTATGGGTAAGTCCTCAAAAGCAATTGCCAGAAAAATAAAAATTGACAAGTATGATTTAATTAAACTAAAGAGCTTCTTCTGCACAGCATGAGAAACTCTCAAGGGATTGAACAGACAGCCTACCGAGTGGAAGAAAATATTCACACACTATGCATACAGCAAAGGCCTATTATCCAGAAGCCATAAGAGACTTAGGCAAATCAACGAGCAAAAAATAAATAACCCCATTAAAAAATGGGCAAAGAACGTGAACAGTTTTCAGAAGAACACATATGTGGCCAACAAACATATTAACACATGCATACCATCACTAATCATCAGAGAAATGCAAAACAAAACATCAGTGAAATACCATCTCACACCAGTTAGAATGACTTCTGTTAAAAAGGAAAAGTAATAAAAATATTTAAATATTTAATATTAAAATCATTTAGATTGAGATAAATTAACTTGTCATTATCATTAATTCTCAAAACATGGATATTTAAGAATAACCTTACTTCACATGTAATAACACAACAACTACCTTAAAAACTAAAAGCTGGGGCCTGGCACGGTGTCTCAAGTCTGTAATCCCAGCACTTTGGGAAGCTGAGGTGGGCCGATCATGAGGCCAGGAGTTTGAGACAAGCCTGGCCAACATGGTGAAACCCCGTCTCTACTAAAAATACAAAAATTAGCTGGGCATGGTGGTGGGCACCTGTAATCCCAGCTACTCAGGAGGCTGAGGCAGGAGAATCATTGGAACCTGGGAGGCGGAGGTGGTTGCAGTGAGCTGAGATCACACCATTGCACTGCAGCCTGGGCAACAGGGCGAGACTCCATCTCAAAAAAAATAAATAAAATTAAATGAATACAAACAAATAAATAAAAGCTGGAAGTTCTATGAAAACATTAATGCACATACCATTTTTTAAAAATGTTCATGGTTTCTCTAGAGATTTCAATACCTATTCTAGCTTATTACAGTAACCTATAATTTGTACTATACCAACTATGGTATAAAAACCTTAAAATGTATATTTCTGTTTCCTCTCTCCTTTATACTATTTATGTCATGCATTATAGTCTCAAATATTATGAATTCCATAATATAAAGTTACTCTTTTTTTAAAAAATTAGACAATCAATTATCTTTAGAGCAATGTAAAATAATTGGGTTATATATCTTTATATCTTCTCTGGCATTATTTATTTCTTTGTGTAGTTTCAACTTTCACCTGCTTCCATATTCCTTTTGCCTCAAGAAATGATTTTGACATTTATTTTAGTGCATACCTGTTAGCAAGGGACTCTTCCAGTGTTAATCTGCAAATGTCATTTAATTGTTATTTTTGCTGTATTACAGTTAATGGATATAAGATTGGGGGTTGACTTTTCTTCAGTTATTTAAGAATTTTGTATCATTGGTTTCTGACTTGTAGAGTTACTGACAAGCAGTTCATTACAATGTTTGTTTCTGTTTATCTCTCTACACAGTGTTCTTATTTTTTCTGTGACTGAATTCAAGATTTATGCTAATCGTTGGTTTTCAGCAGTTTCACTAGTGTGATTATTCTAGCGTTCTTTAAATTTTGTATTAATCTTTCTTGTATATTTTGAGGTTATTTGGTCTCCTCAGTCATCTTTTTCAAATTTTTCTTCTCTCACATTCTGTTTTTACTCTCCTTCTGTAATTCCAATTAATTGTATTTTGGTTAATTTCATATTACCAGAAAATTCTTTGATTCACTGGAGTATTTTATTTGCTTGGTTCATTGGTTTATTTGGTTTTTCTCTTTCCTCCCTTTGTGCTACCATTCAAATGATTTGTATTGACCTAGTATAAAATTTACTGCTTCTTTCTTTAACTCTGATGACCAGTCTGCTAATCAGCTTGCTGATGTAATACTTCATCTCTGTTCTCATGCTTTCACTTATTTCTAGATTTTGCCTTTTACTGTTCCCATCTTTGCTGAAATTCCT
The DNA here is from genome assembly GCF_000001405.40 of Homo sapiens. Taxonomy (NCBI): domain Eukaryota; kingdom Metazoa; phylum Chordata; class Mammalia; order Primates; family Hominidae; genus Homo; species Homo sapiens. The sequence continues at coordinate 120,511 of NT_187382.1, read as the reverse complement.
CATTTTTCCATACATGTTGTCTTTTTTTAACTAGATCCTTTAACATTTTGATCATTATTATTTTAAATTACTTTCATTTAGTTCCAACATCTGAATTATCTCTGAATTTGATTCTGTTGACTTTTTATCCTTTGAAAATATTATAACTCATAACTCAAATTTCTAACTTGCTTTTATGTGTCTCCCAATTTCTAAAAAATGCAAATCATCTGATGTAGAAAAACAGTAGATCATGAGATAATTATTTATGTCGAGATTGTTTTATATTTCTGTTTCATTTTTGTTTGTGTCGTGCTATTAGTGTGGGCAGGAACAAAGGTTGCTTTTTGCTGCGGTGTCTGAAACATTCAGTGAACAATGTAACTCAGATTTCTCCAGCAGTAGACTGCTATATGATGTGCCTTGTGTGGGGCCTTAGACTCTGGAGAGCATATGCCAATGATCCTGTTCCACAGTTAGCTTTCGGTAGTCCTTACAACCTATGTTATAGAGAGGGTCTCTCTCCACTTTCTTGTTCTTCTCTAACTGTAGAACATCATTTTGTGTGTGTGTGTGTGTGACTAGGCAAAAAATTCAGGTTGGGGACAGAGGGATGGTTTGTGTTGTTTTTGAGCCAGTTTCATCATTGGACACTCAGAGATGGGGTATTTTTAACACTTCTTGACTCTTTTTCTAGTGGGAGTCAAACTGTCACTTACCTGTGTTGTTTTTTGCAGAAGAAATAATACCTTACCCTCCTCCCACCTCAGTAGTAGAAAACCCCTGATTTATATCATTGCAAGTTTTCAACCCCACAATAAGGGCAAACTCTTTTATTTCTCCTTCCATAGGAACAATGTACCTTTGTCTGTGGTCACTGGATGGAGACTTTCCAAACCTTTACCACAGTAGCACGACTCTGCATTAGTGCAAAATCCTGGGCCCCAAAACAATCCTTGTTCCTCTCCTGATGGAGGAGTATTTTTCTTGCATCCCTCTCCCAGAAGCAGTGATCCTTTGCCTGGTGTCAGGTGGGGTAGGGTAGGGTATGAGAGGTTTCTTAACCTTCTCTGGAAGCTGATGTGTTTTGCTTCTTCTTATCTCCCAGAAACAGTAGACTTTTGCATGGGTTCATGGACCCAGATGCTTTTTTGCCACAGCAAATTAAGGGTTTTGATTCTTAGGAGAGAAGCAAATGTTCACGTAGTCAATTTTTTTCTTATTTATTTTTTGCTTTGTTTTCTTATTTCAGTAATGATGAGTTCAATATGATCATTATTTTCCACTTACACTGCTTGCAACTCTAATATTTTGTTTTTGTTAGTCCCCCTTTGACAGTTCAGCACTAAATCAAATGCAGATAATCATCAGTTGTGTGAATAAAGTGTTTTTAATTGAGAACAAAATTATTGATATAGACACAAATTTGGATATTATCCTACTTAGCACAATATGTCGCTGGTTCAAAATGTAAAAACCTCTTTAGGCTGAGCAAATAATGGTTCTTGGAACTATTGTCCCATTTTGACAAATAAAACCCAATGCTTTTTATCTCATGGATAGATTATTAAAATAACTACATACCTGATCTTCATTTTATGTTCTCTCTCTTCAAGATATTCCTTCAAAACCACTTTGACTGATTAGTCTCTTTTGAATTATGTTAGACTCTGTATTTTCTCCACAAGCTCATCAGTGTAAATCCTGCCTTTACATTTTTTATAAAAATTCTCTTTTTTTTTCAAATCTTAGTTGAGCTGAAAGATTTCCACCAAATGTCTCCTATGCCACAAAGCCTTATTTTACTTATCTCCCCTGTCCTCCTTGCTCAAGCTCATTTAGGAATATTTTAATTAAAACATTCATGCAATACTGTTTTTTAAAAAATCTGAACATATAGTATTTTCAATCTGAATACAAAATAGTGCTCTAATTTGAAAACAAGTTTTAGAAACAAATGTTTCTAGAAGGAGAATCAACAGTGTCATAAATATCATAATCCAATTTTCCTGTTTGTACTAAAACATTAGCAAATATTTATTGAGGAATTGCCATCTGCCTGAAAGTATAATGCTTTTGATGCACATTATATCATAAAAACTAGGTACTATTATTAGTAGTATCTTAAGAGTATAAATATCGAGTCTTAGAGATGTTAAGCAACGTGCCCAAATAGCATGGGGAAAGTTGGAATTCTGAAATTCTGACTATGCTGTGCGTAGGATAGGAGAATCAAGGCTTGTCAAATGTAACTGTTAAGTCATTGTGGGGATACGGAGGCCTCTGATTGCTAGGGTCAATACACTTAAGCAGATCATGTCACTACTTAGTTAAATCTATTTCATTAAAGCAAAATTCCATAAAGATTATTGCCACCAAAACTATTAATTTTCCTTCCTTCCTTTCTCTCTTTATCTTTCTTTCTTTCTTTCTTTTCTTTCTTTCTTTCTTTCTTTCTTTTCTTTCTTGTCTTTCTTGTCTTTCTTGTCTTTCTTGTCTTTCTTTCTGTCTTTCTTTGAGACAGGGTCTCAGTCTGTTGCCCAAGCTGGAGTGCAGTGGCACAATCATGGCTCACTGCAGCCCCAGCTTCCCCAGGCTCCGGTGATCCTCCCACCTCATCCTCCTGAGTAGCTGGGACTACAGGCAGGCAATCCACTACGCCTGGCTAAAATTTTTTTTTTTTTTTGGTAAAGATTGGGTTTCACCATGTTGCCGAGCCTGGTCTGCAACTACTCAGCTCAAGCAATCCACCTGCCTTTGCCTCCCAAAGTATTGGGATTCCAGATGTAAGCCACATGCCTGGCCAAAAATATTATTTAACAAGTTCAATTTAACTATTAGATTTTGGACAATGAGGGATAGAATTTTCTACATCATAAATCATCTTGTGTTCTTTATTTAAAGTAATATGTAAGGATTTCAATTCAATTCAAATATATTTATTAGGAAATTAAATGTCTTTTTCAGGATTCCAAACTTTTGTTGAAGACATAAATGTTAAATGATGTCACTAATTTTAATTAGATTAACAGAAAGGTATTCTGGTGTTTAATAACAGTGACAGAATGGGCTATTAATTTTATTTTCTTTCCCTTTCTCCCTTTCCCCTTTTTAAAATATTTTACTTTTTAGGCTGTTTGGAATCCTGTAGATAGAGTTTTGGAGAATTAGACAAAACACTCACAGAAACTGCCAACCCTTGGATGAAATATATTGTTACTGTGCTTTGGGATTAAAATAAGTAACTACAGTTTATAGAACTTTTATACTGATACACAGACACTAAAAAGGGAAAGGGTTTGGATGAGAAGCTCTGCTCTGCAACCAGGAATCTCAGCCACTCATTTCTGTTGGAGCTGCAGGAGCTCCCTGTAAAGAGAGATTATGGAGTCTGTAGCTTCAGGAAAGATACTTAAAACCCTTCAGAGTTTCTCCATTTTTCCCAGAGTTTCCCCAAAAAGGTTATGACATTTTATAAGAATGCTTCACTTGTGAAAAACTAATACCAAGTCTTCTTGTAATTTATATTTAAGGATAAATCTTTATTCCATGTTTAATTTATTTCACTTATCCTGTAACTAATATTTCATGCTGAACACATTTTAAATGCTGTAAATGTAGATAATATAATTTATGGATCATTAATGCCTCTTTAGTAGTTTAATGTCAAAAGAAATGACCCCAGAATAAGCTTCTTGATTTGTAAAATTCTATGTCATTGACTCAAGTTTGTATGGCATCTCAAAATATAAATATAGACATCTCAGATAATATATTTGAAATAGCAAATTCCTGTTAGAAAAGAATAGTACTTAACTAGATAAGAATAACAGGTCACCATTGTTTGAATTGTCTCCTATTAATTTTTGTTCTGTTGTGTTACTCATGTTTTACTTATGGGGGATATACATAACTTCTGCTGTTTTCAGAATTATTGTATGCAGTCAGTATGAGAATGCAATTTTAGTTTCCTTGATGCTTTCTCACACCTCTATTACTAGAAATAAGAATACAGTAATATTGGCAAAGAAAATTGACCAGTTCAATAAATTTTTTTAGTAAATCTGATTGAAAATAAACATTTCTTACGGCTTTCTTACATCAATATTGTTATGTCTTAGACTACCGTATCTGAAATTAAGGCTTTGAAATTCTAATTATGTGCAAATGTGTAAAATATCATCACCTAACGCTATATAATATATTCTATTTCTATACTGTGATGGCAGGTTTATAATTCTGGAAAGATATACACAACATAAAATTTACCTTTTTAATCACTTTAAGTGCACAGTTTTGTGGCATTAAGTATATTTGCACTATTGTGCAACAGTCACCACCATAGACCTCCAAAACTTGTCTTCTTCTCCAACTAAAATGCTTTACTCATTGAACACCAACTTCCCATTCCTCTCCCTCTCCTTCCCCCTAGCAATCACCATTCTACTTTCTGTCTCTACAAATTTCACTAAGTAACTCATAGAAGTGGCATGATAGAATGTTTGAATTTTTCTGACTGGCTTATTTCACTTAGCATGTCTTCAAGTTTCATCTATTTTGTAGCATGTGTGAGAATATATTTTAAGGCTGAATATTATTATGTTGCCGTATATACCACATTTTGTTTAACCACTCATCCATCAATATTCACATGGGCTGCTCCCTCCCTTTGATTATTGTGAATAATATTGCTAACGGACACGCTGCACAAACATCTTTTTGGTCCCTCCGCTCATTTATTTTGGATATGGATTTGCATTTTAATACAAAGGAGAAATTACACAGCTTTTTAAAAGTGTCCAAATAAAAAGGAGCACAACATCAGTAAAATATTAGAAAGTAGATTGGGGGGAAAACAGGGAAGGAATTGAACCAAAAGTCAATAAGCTGCATAAGAGAGTTGCAAGAGGAGGAAAAAATTGACAATATTAACATAGAATTAAAGAGCGATAGGTCGATATTTAGAAAATTGTCGCATGTACTCATATGTCGCCTGTGAACTGACATTTACATTATTTTATTATTCCAGGTTTCCAAAAGTAAGTGCAATATGAGAGTTTCATGATGCTAAGTAAACTGAAACATGCTATATATTTTGATATATTGTCCTTGAGAGGAGGCTGAGTGGTAATTAGTGCAATTTTAAATTATGATATGATAATGCAGTCAATCTGCCAAACTGAAAAAAAGTATATATACAATATGTATACATTTCTCGCAAAATTCAGTTTTATCATACAATTAAATTATGATTTAAAACTACCTGACAATTAATGGAGGAAAAAATAAAACAACATTTGCATTAATATTACCATAATTTTGATATTATTGTAAATATCAAAATATGTAGTACTTAGAGATAAACCAGCAAAAAAGAGAAACATTTGAAAACTACAAAACTACAAAATATTGCTAAAATAAACGAGACCTAAATAAATGGAATTTATGAGTCATAAATCTCAATATTGTTAAGATGTCTACTCTTTCCACATTGATCTATAACAATTCCAATCAAATCACAGCTGGATTTCTTATTTTAGAAATTGAGAAACTAAAATTCTGAAATGTACATCGATGGGTAGAGGACCTATAATGGCAAATTACTTTGAAAGGAAACAGTTACTTTGAAACCAGGTGCTGCTGGAGAATTAACAGCACCTGGATTCAAGACTTATAACATTACAGTAATACTTAAGACAATGTAGTACAAATATAGATATACACATGTATATCATCTATCAGCTAATTTTTGATAAAGTTCTTAGACCATTCATGGACATAACATTTTCAACAAATGCTTCTGAAACAATTAGATATCCCAGTATATATTTGTGTGTGTGTGTGTGTGAAGCTCAATACTTCACACCTGAGAGGTATGAGTGTGCATTACAAAAGAGAACTGGGAAGCTTTGAGAGTATTGGATATGCTCATTGTCCCCTTCATGGTGATTAATGGGCACATGTACATATCAAATTCATCTCATTTACACTTTAAATATTGGAAGTGTGTTTTATGTTCGTTAGACATGAATAAAGCTGCAAAATGTTATCAAAATATTCACTTACTATGCTTTTATTCATTTTCATCTCTCTATAAACTTTCAGATAGAAAATGCAGTTGAAAGATATTTCATAAAGGAAGAAAAAGTAAGAATACAGGTGAGAGATATTACTGAGATTTTCTTTCAGTGCAATTCTGGTCTTTTCTGACTAGCAATATTTTTATGTGCAGAAGTAGTAGAAAAGATAAATATTTTGTACAGTAGAAAAACGCATCATTTCTGTGCCATGGAAGAGAGAACTCACAAAGATGACAGCTTCTGGCTATGTTGGATACTAACCAGTACTGTAAGTACCCAGCGATCTGACGTTAACATTGGCTGTAAAGCTCCTTTAATGTTCCTTGCAATGATTTGAACCTGTTACTGGAACCCTCATCGCTTATTGAGTTGAAAAACATTGTTGATATGTGTTTATCTTATATTTGCAGTAGAGTCATAATTTTACTTCTTAGAAAATTATACATTAAACAAAAAAGACACATGAAATTGTATATTGTTTAATGTTTCAACTGTGATAATCACTCCATATGCATATTTAAATTCCTATTTGATAAAGGATAGGAAATACAGAAAGAATTCTTGTGATAATAGAGAACACAGAACTGTTGAAAGGTGTTGAAGCTGAGCTGGAGAGAGTCACCAAGGCTGGCGCCAAAGCTGGCAAGGTCGGAGGGTTTCCTGCCTGGGTGGCACAGCTTGAGCTCGCCCTGCATCACGAGTGGTGGAAACTGCAGACCCAGCTGGGCCCGGAGGCCTCTGCCTCAGCCTCCCGCCCACTAGGAGCTGCGCTGAGGTCCCAGATAGGCGACCCTGGCGGGGCGCCCCTGAGCGAAGGGGGGACAGCAGCAGGAGACCAGGGTCCAGGGACCCACCTCCCACCGAGGGAACCTCGAGCCTCCCCTGGCACCCCTAGCTTGGTCCGCCTGGCCTCCGGAGCCCGGTGTGCATCCTGGTCATGGGGACACCCACCAGGTGCCCGGGAGTCCCCCTCCGCCACAGCCTGCGGCTCCGCCGGCCCTCAAGCCTGGTGCGGGGACTCCAGCCCCGTCGCCTCTGCTCCTGCCAGGCCGGGACCTGTCCTCCTCCTGGGCGCCCGGCAGTAGGGGCGATGCACACTGCCCGCTGCCCTGCACAGCCTTTCGCCGCACATCACCTCTGGCCCCTCCGCCCCGGGCCAGGACCTTCCTGGCCACACAGAACCCCCCTTCCTTCCCGCTGCAGAGCTGCTGCGCTTCCCCCACCCACAGGGAAAAACGGCCGATCTCCAACCAAACAGAAATCTGTGTGTGACTCCTCTGGTTGGATACTGCCAGTCCCCACATTTTCTTCCGGGAGTTTTCTTGGCAGAAGGTGCCCAATGTTTGATGTTTCGCCAGCCATGAGGCTGAAAAGTGACAGCAATAGAGAAACACATCAGGCTTTCCGCGACAAAGATGACCTTCCCTTCTTCAAAACTCAGCAATCTCCACGGCACACAAAGGACTTAGGACAAGATGACCGAGCTGGAGTGCTCGCCCCAAAATGCAGGCCCGGAGTGGGTCACCTCCTTAGGGCAGGCCCAGGCTTGTCCTGGCTGCCCGGGCACCTTTCTCCTCACTCCCACCCAATGCAGGGGACCCCAAAACTCGGCTGTTGGGGCTCCCTGCGCCTCCCTCCACAGAAGCCACCTCCTGCCCTCCAAGCTGGGGGTCTCCTGGGGCGTCCTGGGCTGAGAGGGAAAGACGCCAGCTCCGCAAGCCGGGAAGGGAACACCGCCACATTGTTACACGCACACACCACCACACTGTCACATGTACAGACACACGGAGACATTACCACACGGAGACACCGTCACATGGACACACTGGCACATTCACATGGACGGACACACAGACATACGGAGAAATCCACACGGACACACCACCACACTATCACAGGGACACACAGACACACGGAGACGTCACCACATGGACACACCACCACACTATCACAGGGACACACACAAGAGACATCACTACACTGTCACATGGACACACCATCACACTCACACGAACACAAAAACACACTGCCACATGGACACTGCCACACACACACACACCGCCTCACTGTCACATGGACACACCTCCACACTGTCAGACACCACCACACAGACACTGCCATGTGGAAACAAGGACACACAGACACTGTCACACGGATACACAAACACACTGTCACACGGAGACATCACCATGCAGATACATGAACACACCACCACATGGACATAGCACCACACAGACACTCTGCCACACGGACACACCACCACACAGAAATGCGGACACACCACCACACAGACACACCACCACGCTGCCACACAGAGACACCACCACATCGTTGCCACACTTTCATGTGTCAGCTGGCGGTGTGGGCCCCATGACTCTGGGCTCTAATAGAGAAATTACTTAGGCATATAGTGAAGGCAAAATAATTTTTTTTTTCCTGAGGCGTAGTCTCGCTCTGTCCCCCAGGCTGGACTGCAGTGGTGCAATCTCGGCTCACTGTAAGCTCCGCCTCCCGGGTTCACGCCACTCTCCCGCCTCAGCCTCCCGAGTAGCTGGGACTACAGGAGCCCGCCACCAAGCCCGGCCACCTTTTGGGTGTTTTTAATACAGACGGGGTTTCACCTTGCTAGCCAGGATGGTCTCGATCTCCTGACCTCGTGATCTGCCCGCCTTGGCCTCCCAAAGTGCTGGGACTACAGGCGTGAGCCACCGCGCCTGGCCAAGAATTTCTTTCCATCTCCTGTGTCATTGCTTTGGCAGTGGAAATGCGCGTGGCCTCTAGAGTGGGTCCCAAGGTCAGGAAGGCCTGTAAGGTGGAGGGCAAGGTCTCTCTTTCCAGGCTGGAATGGAGGAAGATGTGGTGGCTGAGGGGCTGCATGTCCTCCTCACAGCAGGCCCCTGAGAACATTTATCCTCCTGAGCCGCGAGTGTCCCTCAGGGGTGTCTAAAGCGCTGGGTGGGGCCTTTATAGGCCTTAGGAGCTCTGGCCCATTAGTGGTGCGTAAAACGCAGAGGTGAACACCATAGAACAACAGGTCCAGGAGAATTTTGTAAAAGCTCTGAGGATGCCCTTTTTTGTTCTCCCACTGCAAAATTGTTTTAAAAAGGAAAAAATCCAGCAATGTCCGGGGAAAGTCAATACTGAGTGTCAGCGCGGGATGCTGCCGCTGATACGATCCCGGCGTCCTGGCCGAAAGTGGCCTCCTCGGGGACCGCATCTCCGCGCACCATGGCAGCAAACGCCAGCGGTTTGTGGGCAGATGGTGTCCCTGTGGCCATCCCCGCTCCTGAGTGCGGAAGGACAGACAGGAGCGGGGACTTCTGGGTGTTCCTGGTGTCAGCCAGCTTGACGCCGTTGTTCCTCCTGGACGTCCGGGATTTGGAGAAGCACCTGGTTCCTGATGGAGGCCGTGGGCCTCTTGGTCCCCGCTTACCAGGCAGCGGCGCCGGCCTAGTTCTCAGCCCCGCCCCCGATGGGCGCCGCCTTCCATCAGGCCAAAGACTTTCCTCCAAACTGCCCTTCTTGGGGCGGGGAAGCAGCATCCTGGGCCTCCCCTGGGGCCTGTGGCGCTGGCAGCAGCTCCACGTTGAGGTCGCCTGCAGCCTGCACCGCGGAGCGCTGGAGGTCCCTGAACCCGGCGTGGGGAGGCCAATCCGCAGGTGCCTGGTGCCCAGTGCCGGTCGCAGTCTCAAAAGCGCCTGGAGGTGACATCCAGGAGCACCACCGCGCCGCCCGCAGGGAGACGCATGGCAAGGCGCGCCCCCTAAAGCGGCCAAGGAAGAAGCAGAAGGACAGGAAGGCACCCAGAGCTTGGGGTGATCTCAGGCCGCGCGCCCCAAGTTCCTGGTCTCTGGGAGGTTTTTTTTAAATTTCTTCCATATTATTATTTTTATTATTATTAACTTTTCAAGATGGATTAAAGACTTAAATGTTAGACCTAAAACCATAAAAACCCTAGAAGAAAACCTAGGCAATACCATTCAGAACATAGGCATGGGCAAGGACTTCATGTCTAAATCACCAAAAACAATGGCAACAAAAGCCAAAATTGACAAATGGGATCTAACTAAACTAAAGACCTTCTGCACAGCAAAAGAAACTACCATCAGAGTGAACAGGCAACTTACAGAATGGCAGAAAAATTTTGCAATCTACCCATCTGACAAAGGGCTAATATCCAGAATCTACAAAGAACTTAAACAAATGTACCAGAAAAAATCAAACAATCCCATCAAAAAGTGGGCGAAGGATATGAACAGACACTTCTCAAAAGAAGACATTTATGCAGCCAACAGACACATGAAAAAATGTTCATCATCACTGGCCATCAGAGAAATGCAAATCAAAACCACAATCCGGGAGGTCTTGCCAAAGACGATGTGGGCTTTCTGGGCAATGTCCAGCCTGAGCTGGAGCTTCTGGGACGCGGTCAAGTGGTCCTTTGGAGATTCCACGGCTTCGGATCCCTACTGCAGGATGCTCCGCTGTGTCTGCCAGCCTCTGGCGTTTTGCTGAGGGGTAACCTCGGAATGTATAGAAATAAGAACACTGGGATGGCCCAGTCATGCCCCAGGCATTCCTGCACACAGTGGTGGCAAAGGCAGGCGCTCAGACAAAGTGCCCGGTCGGCTTGGTGAGAGTACTTTACAGGTTAGTGACAGACTTGGTCCCGTGCTTGTGTCCTCTCATGTTTTCAGTTAACCTGCGGACGCCCAGGGGCTCCTCCATCTCCACCGTGTTCTCCTCGGGCTGAAGCCCAAAGTCCCCCATTTTCTCCTCAAACGGCTCACAGAGCCACTTCTGCAGGCAGGAGAACAGCGGTGGGCTCAGTGGCTGACCTGGGAAGCCACATCTGAAGGAACTGCTGGGTGACTATGGCCGTAAGTCAATCAAAGCAGACTTTCCCTGGCTTGCTGCGCTACATTGATTTTGTTTTCATATTTTAAAAGACGCAGAAGGGAGGTCCTAGGAAATTTGCCCAATGCAGATGCTGACAAGAGTGGTGACATGAAAAAGATTACCCAGAAGGAAAACAAGAGCTATTTTCTAAACATCTGAAATCTGTGTAGGCTTTTGGAAAAGTGAAACTAGATGCAAAGCAGCATGATATAATTCTGGCAATTTCCACTGACACAGAACTCAGTCAATCTGAATTAATCTAAGGGTTACAAGGAAAATGGCACTCCAAGAGGTACCTATTGACATCACTCAGCTGCTGTGAAATAGGCTTACAGACAACACGGAGTGTCAATTATCCAATGTTTAAAGTCAGTGATACAGATTGGACTACAATCTCTATGGCTCATAAAGTCTTCTTTAAAGGATTGATAGATGATTTATCTCATATGTAGACAATGATTCTCAGCAGTTAGCTAGCACAACTTGCTAATATCAATTGCTTGAGAAAATCAGATAATTGCTTGAGAAAATTAGGACATTGCTTGAGGATGTTAGGTAATTAAATAAATTACTTTTTTTAAGAATAGTTTAATGTTTTGGCAAGTAGACTTTAAAATAGATTGGTAATATTTTAAAGGCTACTTTTAAAGAAGTAGCAATATAACATGTTTAATTATGAAAAATAATGTTGGAAACAATTCAATTTTCTATCAGATAATTTCACAAATATAGAAATACCATCTCAATAATTAGAAGAAGTAGCAGCAATTTCTGTCATTTTTATGCAAGTTACTCCTAGTCCATTTATCTGGTCTTAAATAGTGTTTTTAAAATTTGTTTTCAAACAAGGCAAATCATAAATAATAGAATATATTTTACAATAATTGAAGGTAACAAAAAATAAGAGCCATTTAAAAAATTGTATTAGATTGTTTAAAAATGTTGTGGGTACATAGTATGTGTATGTATCTGTGGGGTCCCTGAGATGTTTTGATACAGGCATGCAAGGTGAAATAAGCACATCTTGGGGAATGGGGTATCCCTCCCCTCAAGCATTTATCCTTCAAGTTATAAAAAATTCAATTACAGTCTTAGTTATTTCAAAATGTACAATGAAATTATTATTGGATATAGTCACCCTATTGTGCTATAAAATAGTAGGTCTTATTAACTCTCTATTTTTATACCCATTAACCATCCCCACCTTCCCACAAAATCCCCCCCCAACTACCTTTCCCAGCCTCTGATAACCATCCTTATACTCTCTATGTCCATGAGTTTGTTTTGATTTTAGATCCCACAAATAAGTAAGAACATGTAACATTTGTCTTTCTGCACCTGGCTTATTTCACTTAATATAATGATCCATAATGTTCCATCAGTGTTACTGACAATGACTGGATCTTGTTCTTTGTTACGGCTGAATAGTCCTCCATTGTGTATATGTACCACATTTTCTTTATCCATTCATCTGTTGATGGACACTAAGGTTTCTTCCAAATCTTAGTTTTGTAAACAGTGCTGCAACAAATATGGGAGTGCAGATATGTATTTGACATACTGATTTCCTTTATTTTTGGTAGAGACCCAGCAGTAGGATTGCTAGATCATATGCTAGCTCAACTTTTAGTTTATTGAGAAACATCCAAACTGTTCACCTTGGTGGTTTTATTAATTTACATTCCCAGGAGCAATGTACAAGTGTTCCCTTTTCTCTGCTTCCCTGCTAGCATTTGTTACTGCCTGTCTTTTGCATACAAGTCATATAAACTGTGGTGAGATGATATCTCATTGTAGTTTTGATTTGCATTTCTCTGATGATCAGTGATATTGAGCACCTTTTCTTATACCTGTTTGCCATTTGTAGGTCTTCTTTTGAGAAATATCTATTCGAATCTTTTGCCCCCTTTTTTTTAGCCAGGTTATTAGATTGTTTCTTAAAGAGTTGTTTGAGCTTTTTATATATTCTGATTATTAATCCTTTGTTGGATGAGTAGTTTGCAAATATTTTCTCTCATTCTGTGGATTATCTCTTAACTTTGTTGCTTGTATCATTTTCCGTGCAGAAGCTTTTAACTTAATGTGATCCATTTGTCCATTTTTGCTTTGGTTGCCTGTGCTTGTGGGGTATTGCTCAAGATATTTTTGCCCAGACCAATATCCTGGAGATTTCCCCCAAAGTTTTTTTGTACTAGTTTTATAGTTTGAGGTCTTAGCTTTACATCTTTAATCAACTTTGATTTTACTTTTGTATTCAGTGATAGATACTAGTCTGTTTTCATTCTTCTGCATATGGATATCCAGTTTTTTCAACACCATTTCCCACCAGTGTATGTTCTTGGCACCTTTGTCAAAAATGAGTTCACTGTAGGTATGTAGATTTGTTACTGGGTTCTCTATTGTGTTTCATTGATCTATGGGCCTCTTTTTATGCCAGTACCCTACTCTTTTGGTTACTGTAATTCTGTAGTATAATATGAAGTTAGATAATATAATTCCTCCAGTTTTATTTATTTATTTATTTTTGCTTAGGATAGTATTATTTCTTATACTGAAAGCATTCTATGTTATTATTAGTCTAATTTTGCAGTTTTACAATGCTATCCTCTTTTACAAAGCTGTGATCAACTCAAAGTCCAGATCAGGGTCAATTGTAGCTATTTGCAAAAGTAGCAATATTCTGGCCAGGGGTGGTGGCTCATGCCTATAATCCCAGCACTTTGGGAGGCCAAGACAGGCAGGTCACCTGAGGTCAGAGGTTCAAGACCAGCCTGGCCAACATGGTGAAACCCTGTCTCCAATAAAAATACAAAAATTAGCCGGGGATGAAGGCAGATGCCTGTAATCCCAGCTACTCAGGAGGCTGAGGCAGGAAAATCACTTGAACCCGTGAGGTGGAGGTTGCAGTGAGCCCAGAATGCACCATTGCACTTCAGCCTGGGTAACCAAGTGTGACTCCGTCTCAAAAAAAAAAAAAAAAAAAAAAGTACTATACTGTGTAATTATTGAGAGCATAATTCACTATTATGTGGATCAGAGAGCAGAGCATTCTGAATGCATGAACATATCTTTAACATTTCAATACATTACTCATAATTACTAATGAACTAAAGAGAAACCAAGAAATTATGGTGATAGTTATATTGACTTGGTGAAATGTAGACACAAAATAACGGTAAGATGAGAAATGTGTTAACACAGGCTATAAGGGCATGCAAGAATAAAAATAGGGGAGAAAACAGGAGAGTTTTTCAAGAGCTTTCTGGTCATGTAAGTCAATTTGTATCGGTTAATTTTTAAAAGGTTTATTTACATGCAATAAACTGCACATACTTCAATTGTACATTTTGATAATTCTTGGCATTTGTAGCTCTACAAAACCAACAACATATGAAAATAGCAAACATATCCATTACCTTTACCACCAAAGTTTCCTTGTGCTTTTTCTACTCACTTTTTCCTGCCTATCCCCATTCCATCCACAGGCAACCACTGATCCACTTCTAGTCACTATCCGTGAGTTTTTATTTCCAAATACATAAAATCATAGGGTATGTATACTTTCTGATCACTCAGCATCACTATTTTTGAGATTTATTCATGTTGCTACATCTATCAATTGTTCTGTTCTTACTAGGGAGTATTATTTCATTATATACAGATACCATAGTAAGTTTATAAGTCACAAATTCACCTGTCCATGGATATTTGGACTATTTTCAGGTTTTGGCTGTTGCAAGTAAAGCTGCTATGAAGATTCATGTAAAATCCTTTGAATGGGCATATGCTCTTAGGTTTTCATCTCTACTGGAATAGATAGCTATATGGCTATCATGTCTGTAATATGCAAACACAAAGCCTGACAAAACTGATTTCTAAAGTGGAAATTCCACTGGAGAACCTTGACTCCAACCTGGCTTTTGAGATTATCTCCTATGTCTGGTGCAATGATTGGTCCTGGGGTAGCCACATGACGCAAGGGGGACCATGTTTAAACTTCTGAGTTTTCACCGAGGTTAACATGCATTTGTTGAAAGAGAAACCCCTTTTCCCCTACTCCCCCAGCTGCAAATGCCTTCAGGGATTATATCATGTTGGAACATTTGGTTACAGTGTTTCCTAAACTTTGGGGGTAAAAATTGTTCAAGTAGGTAAAAATGGAGCACACACAAAGAAAAAAGGAGTCCAGAAATATCAAATAAAGAAAGGGCCTCCATAAAATCATTTGAACTTATGATTAATTCATTAGTCATTAAAATAAGTTTAGTGTACAAAGAATCATCCCTCCAACCACCCTTTATTCCTTCACCAGGTTTAAGTTACATTTTTAAACTTGCAAACAAAAGATTTGTCATTAACTTAGACATCAAAATCCCTTGTCTCCAAGAGCAATCATTCAACTCTGTCCCTCTCATTATTACAATAATATGTTCACTTTATTCTACATACACCTGCTCGTTGCCCTTGTCTCCCTATTCTATTCTGTTAAAGTTATATCCAGACATTTATTTCATTTTATATCAAAGAAACTGTATACACGTTTTTAATCTTAGAAAAATTTCTGAGTAATCTTTTGTCTCATATTCGATTTTAAGCCACCCAAGAAGCATTATTTTTTCATTTAGCATTTTAACTTTTCTAACCCAGGACTTTTATAGTAGATATTATGTCTTTTTCTAAATGTTCTGCTTCAATTTACATTTTAAATCTAATTTTTAAAAAGTGTATGTTTTGAATATTAGCATCATGCATCTCAGGCCTAAATATCCCTTGATAACTAATATTGTCCTTTTTTCTCTACATTTTTCACATATTTCAATAGGGAGCTATATTGCCTGCCACAATAAAAGTTTTTGTCAATATAACATAACACATAGGCAAAATATTGTTTCCAAGTGATTGATGATGTGGTGCCTTCAGTCTAGTCCCAACCCCTCAATGTAATCATCATCCCTAAATCTAATGAAATAGGAAATAAATATTTCATTTTGTTTCTAAAATTCAGCAGAAAAATATACAGCCTGTCACATATAGCCTGTAACACCAACATATAAAAATTAAAGCAGTTCCTTCTCCACTCCCACTGCTTCACTTGACTAGCCTTAAAAAATAATAATAATAATAAATAAAAGCAAAATTGTTCCTTTACTTATCTTTGAAATCTAATGGATATACTATCAGAAAAGCTCTTATGTATATGGAGGGCCTCTATAAAATATAAACTGTTAACTAGAAAAGTAGATTTATATGATAGTTAAATTTAAAACACAATTATATATAGTACCTTCCCAAATGCACCAGTACTTATTTCAGAATGCATGATGTAATTGACTAAACCATTTAGGGCTAGACCTCTGAAATAAAAGGCATTCACACTTTGTGATTCCTGGGGAAATATTCAAAATAGAAACTTGCAGAATCTTTACCTGATCATGATAAAAAAAATGTTCCTACTTGTTAATATGCCACAGCTTTTACAAGGTCAGCAAAAAGAGATTATCCCACAATAAAAGCTGATGGCCAAAATTATCTGCCTTACTTTAGTTACCATAATATCTATTAAGTGTAAATTTCTTCTGAAAGAAAACAGATACACTTTTCTCAGAAATGTCTTTAGATGAAGATCTAGCACATCTGTGTTCCTCACTTTTTAAAATGTTGATTTTATTGATAAATAAATATATATAGGGTACAATGTGGTACGATACATGTAGATATTGTGAAATGGACTAATTAGGCTAAATAACGTATCCTTCACCTCAGATATGTATTACATTATGGTGAAACATTTAAAATGTACTATTTTAGCACTTTTAAGATATGCACTACATTATGAGTAACTGCAGTCACTTTGCTGTGCACCATATCACCAGAATGTCTTTCTCCTAACTGAAGCATTATCCCATTCAATATTTCCCCTTTTTCCACCCCTGCTCCCCACCCTGCTCAGCCTCTGATAAACCACCATTCTATTCTTAACTTCTATGAGTGCACAGTTTTGGATTTCACATATAAGTGATACTATGAGATATTTGTCTTTCTGTGTCTGGCTTATTTTACTTAGCATAATGTCCTCTAAATTCATCCATGTTTTTGCAAATGACAGATTTTCATTCATTTATAAAGATAAGTAGTATTTTTGTATGCATCCTACATATACTTTTAACTTTCCACAGCTTTATTGAGATATAATTTATACATTGTGTAATTCACTCATTTAAAGTACAAACTTCAAATTCTTTTAGTATATTAACTGGATGGACAAATAATCATCATAATATAATTTTAGAACATTTTATTTTCCTTAAAAGAGACTTGCGCCCATTAGCAATCTTTCCCCATTTTCTCCAGTCTTTTTTAAACCCCTCCTAGTCTAGGCAACCACTCGTCTACTTTCTGACTATGAATTTGCCTATTCTGGACATTTCACATAAATGGAATTATAATAACACATAGTCACTTTTTACTCACATCTTTCACCTAACATATTTTTAATGTTCATCCATTTTGGAGCATGCATTAACAGTTTTTTACCTTTTCTTGCTAAATAAGATTCTATTTTATGGACACACCACATTTTATTTATCCACTCCTCAGCTGATGAACATTTCTGTTGTTTTCTACTTTGTGTTGCTATAAACATTTGTGTACTACTGTTTGTGTAGCATTTGTTTTATTTTCTTTTTGGTAAACACATAGGAGTGGAATTGCTGGGTCACGTGATAACTCTATGTTTAACCATTTGAAGAACTGCGAGACTGCTTTACATTTTAAAGTCTCACCAGTGGTGTAGAAGGGTTCCAATTTTTCCACATATTTTTATCTAGTCTTCAGTTGATAAGCACTTAGGTTGTTTCTAATTCATGGGTATTATGAATAATGCTGCAATGAACATGAAATTGCAGATGTCTGTTTTTGACATACTGATTAAAATTCCTTTGGACACGTATCCAGAAGTGGGATTGATGGATCATAGGGTAAATATATTTATAATTTCTTGAGGAAGCTTCATACTGTTTTCCAAGATGGCTGTGCTAATTTCCATTCTTACCAACAGTGCACAGGGTTTCTTTTTCTCCACATCCTCATCAACACTTATCTTCCATCTTTTTTTATAATAGCCCTAGTAAAATGTGTGAGGTGATATCTCATTGTGGCTTTGATTTGCATTTCTCTGATAATTAGAAATGTTTATGATTTTTTCATGTACCTGTTGGCCTTTTGTATGCCTTACGAAATGTCTATTCTGGTTCTTTGCTTATTTTTTTTAATAAGCATAGTTTTATTCTTATGTTTGAGTAGGTTGAGTTACTTATATATTATTATATGAGCCCCTTATCTGATGTATGGTTTAAAAATGTTATCCCATTTGTGGGTTCTCTTCATTCTATTATCACTTCTTTTCCTGTGGAAAAGCTTTTTAGTTTTATGCAATCTCATTCATGTGTTTTTGCTTTTGTTGCCTGTGCTTTTGGAATAATCTACAGAAAATCATAGCTCAGGCCAATGTCATACAGTCTTCTTCTGTATTTCCTTGTAGTAGTTTTACATTTAAGTCTTTAATTTTGATTTCATGCTTGTATAAAGAGCAAAAGAAAAGTCAAATTTTATTCTTCTGTATGTGGATAGTCAGTTTTTTCTACACCATTTATTGAAAATAATTTTCTTTCTTCATTGTGTATTTTTAGTTATTTTATCAAAAAGTCAATTGACCACAGACATACGGATTTATTTACGGGTTCTATATCCCTTTGCACTGTTCTACATGTCTGTTTTTATGCCACTGCTATGTTGTTTTAATTACTATAGCTTTGTAATATAGTTTGGAATCGGGTAGTCTGATGCCTCCAGCTTTATTCTTTTTGTTCAAGATTGCTTTGGTTAGTCAGGGTCTTTTGTGGTTTCATACAAATTTTAGCAGTAATTTTTCTATTTCTGGGAATTTGATAGTGGTTGCATTTAATCTGTAGATTGCTTTGGGTAGCATTGACACTTTTACAATACTAATTTTTGAATCAATCAATAAAGGATGTTTCTCCATTTATTTATGCCATTTTAACTTTTTTCATCAATGTGCTATAGTTTTCAGTGTGCAAATCTTTCACATTCTTGATTAAATTTACTCCTAAGTCTTTTACATATTTTTATATCTGTTTTGATTCTATTATAAATTGAATTGCCTTATTAATTTATTTTTCAGGTAATAGTTTGTCATTAATGTATAGAAACAATAATGCTATCTGTATGATTTTGTAACTATTAACTTTATTGAATTTCTTTATCAGCTTTAACCGTTTATTGTGGTGGAGTCTTTAAGATTTTCTCTACCTTGAGTGCGCCAGGCGCGGGGAGCCTAGGACCTGGAGCGAGAGCCGCCTACCTGCAGCCGCCGCCCACGGCACGGCAGCCACCATGGCGCTCCTGCTGCGCTTCGTGCTCCTGT
This sequence comes from Homo sapiens, assembly GCF_000001405.40. Classification (NCBI taxonomy): domain Eukaryota; kingdom Metazoa; phylum Chordata; class Mammalia; order Primates; family Hominidae; genus Homo; species Homo sapiens. The sequence goes on along the minus strand of NT_187382.1, from coordinate 101,110 downwards.
GCAGAGTCGCGGATTTCATCAGAGGTTGGAGTATCACTACTCCTGAGCAGATGATTGAAAAAGCCAAAGGGGAAACTGCCTATCTGCCATGCAAATTTACGCTTAGTCCTGAAGACCAGGGACCACTGGACATCGAGTGGCTGATATCACCAGCTGATAATCAGAAGGTGGATCAAGTGATTATTTTATATTCTGGAGACAAAATTTATGATGACTACTATCCAGATCTGAAAGGCCGAGTACATTTTAAGAGTAATGATCTCAAATCTGGTGATGCATCAATAAATGTAACGAATTTTCAGCTGTCAGATATTGGCACAGATCAGTGCAAAGTGAAAAGAGCTCCTGGTGTTGCAAATAGGAAGATTCAGCTGGTAGTTCTTGGTAAGCCTTCAGGTACAAGATGTTACGTTGATGGATCAGAAGAAATTGGAAGTGACTTTAAATTAAAATGTGAACCAAAAGAAGGTTCACTTCCATTACAGTATGAGTGGCAAAAATTGTCTGACTCACAGAAAATGCCCACTTCATGGTTAGCAGAAATGACTTCATCTGTTATATCTATAAAAATGCTTCTTCTGAGTACTCTGGGACATACAGCTGTACATCAGAAACAGAGTGGGCTCTGATCAGTGCCTGTTGCGTGTAAACGTTGTCCCTCCTTCAAATAAAGCTGGACTAATTGCAGGAGCCATTATAGGAACTTTGCTTGCTCTAGTGCTCATTGGTCTTATCATCTTTTGCTGTCGTAAAAAGTGCAGAGAAGAAAAATATGAAAAGGAAGTTCATCACGATATCAAGGAAGATGTGCCGCCTCCAAAGAGCCGCACGTCCACTGCCAGAAGCTACATAGGCAGTAATCATTCATCCCTGGGATCCATATCTCCTTCCAACATGGAAGGATATTCCAAGACTCAGTATAAACAAGTACCAAGTGAAGACTTTGAACGCACTCCTCAGAGTCCGACTCTCCCACCTGCTAAGGTAGCTGCCCCTAATCTAAGTCGAATGGGCGCGATTCCTGTGATGATTCCCGCACAGAGCAAGGATGGGTCTATAGTATAGAGCCTCCATACGTCTCATCTGTGCTCTCCGTGTTCCTTTCCTTTTTTTGATATATGAAAACCTATTCTGGTCTAAATTTTGTTACTAGCCTCAGAATGTATCAAAAAATAAGTTAATCAGGAGCTGTAAGGAATATATTTTTAAAAATTTTTGTTTGGTTATATCGAAATAGTTACGGGCATTAAAGTTAGTAAAGACAAGTTTACCATCTGAAAAGGCTGGATTTTCTTTAAGAGGCTGATTATAAAGGTTTCTAAATGTTATCAGTACCTAAGTAAGATGTAGCACTTTGAGTATGAAATCATAGGTGAAGAAATCCGTGAACTTACTTGCATACCAAGTTGATACTTGAGTAACCATCTGAAAGTGGTACTTGATAATTTTTACCATTATTTTTAGGATGTGTATCTCATTTATTTATGGCCCACAAGTCTCCCCCAAATTAGTACAGAAACATCCCTGACAAAATTACTTATGTACGTTTGTACTTGTTTTCACAGCTCCTCGGAAAACTCTGTGTTAGGAATATCTCTAAAAACATAGAAAACACTACAGTGGTTTAGAAATTACTAATTTTACTTCTAAGTCATTCATAAACCTTGCCTATGAAATGACTTCTTAAATATTTAGTTGATAGACTGCTACAGGTAATAGGGACTTAGCAAGCTCTTTTATATGCTAAAGGAGCATCTATCAGATTAAGTTAGAACATTTGCTGTCTGCCACATATTGAGATGGCACTAGGTGCAATAGCAGGGATAGATTTTGTTGGTGAGAGGTCTCATGCCTTGAGATCTGTGGTGGTCTTTAAAATGGTGGCCAGCCAGACCAAGGATGTAGTATCTCATAGTCCCCAACTAAATGCTGGCTTTCCACTTTAGGTGATATTTTTCTAATTAGAAAAATATTATAACTCACTTATTGTTTGGCAATTATAGATTGAAATTTCCTAATTCTAAATTTTAAGTGGCTCTTCGGTTTCAGTGCTCTATGTTGTTTGTTGTTGGTTTTGGATGGCATTACATGTTATATGTTCTAGAAACATGTAATCCTAAATTTACCCTCTTGAATATGATCCCTGGATGATATTTTTATCATAAATGCAGAATAATCAAATACATTTTAAGCAAGTAAGTGTCCTCCATCAATTCCGTATTCCAGACTTGGGAGGATGTACAGTTGCTGTTGTGTGATCAAACATGTCTCTGTGTAGTTCCAGCAAATCAAGCTGAGCTTCAAAAAAGTTTGAGTCTCAGTTTTGTGAAAGTGATTTATTCTTAAAAAAAAAAAAAAAGAAAGAAAGAAAAAAAGAAAAAGAAAAAAAGATAAGAAAAAGGAATAAAGCAACCACTCCTCCTTGTCAAATGTGCTAAATATCATTTTAGGAGAAGAGAGTGGACTTATTGTATCTCCCTTAAGATTGTGAGGGAGTGTGGATACAGTAGAATGAGCCAATAGTTTCTTTATAATAAATACGGTCTGCAATAAATTATTTCACTAGCTCTAAAACCTTTCCCTAGATTTTAGTGGGGAGTTGGTTTCTGTTAATATCTTTGGGTGCTGTGGTGGTAAATGCTACATTATAAACGGTGGCATGTATTTACAGTTACAGTATTGTGTGTACACTTTTTAATGGTAAACTTAAGCTGAATGTGTAATGGACTTGTGTATAGTTTTACATATTTGGAAGCATTTTAAAAATAGGTTTTAACCTTACATAAAATTACTTTTATACTTGTGTTAACATTTTCTTCTGTGCCTTTTGGGTAATTTAATTTCTGTTATGAATTTCTGGTGCCTATGAGCTAGCTATCACCTACCTGAAAGTTGCTTAGAGGTGAAGGTACTGTTTCTAAAAACACATCACTGTGACATCTTTCTATCCTCATATTTTCAAGCTTGCCTCTTTTCTGTTCTTTGTGGATATAACTTAAGTGATTGTGTTATTCATAAAGATTTAGAAATTTCAATATTCCCAACACTCTGACTATGTTTCTGATTTTATAACAGTAGCCATTTTTGAATGTCAGATGTTTGGCCTGTTTTATATGAATAAAGTTTATTTATAAAATATTATAAAAATAAGTAAATAGAACATTAATAATAAAAAAAGATTTTCTGTATCTTAAGATTATATTTTCAGAAAACAGAAACAATCTTACCTCTTCCTTCCCTATATGGATTTCTTTTATTTCTTTGTCTTGTGTAGTTGATCTGGCTAGGCAATTACACATAATGTTTTCAGCATTTGTAATTTTACATCAAATCCATCCATTGTAGCACATTGACTGCTACTTTTCAACTTGTAAACCTGGACATTTATCACCACTCTTCCTCCAGTACAGGAGTCCATGGCCCGGTGTGGGCCCTACTGTGCCACAGTCCAGGGCACGGCTGGGCGCAGGTTCTCTCGTGCAAGAGTCCGCAGCTCTGCGGAGCAAGAGTTCTCCAGTGCCTTAGACCAGGGTGAGGCAGGGGTGAGGCTCCTTCAGTAGCTCAGTCCAGGACGCAGCCCTGCGAGGGTCCTCCTGTGCAGGAGTACACGATGCTGCGGGGTCCTACTGTGCCTTAGTCCAAGACGCCAGGGGGCTGGGTCCTCTGGTGCCATAGTCCAGGATGCGAGGGGCTGGGTCCTCTGGTGCCATAGTCCAGGCTGCCGGGAGCTGGGTCCTCTGGTGCCATAGTCCAGGGTGCAGTGGAACAGGAGTCCTGTGGAGCAGCAGTCCAGGGCGCGGTGGGGCATGGATTCTCAGGTGCCGCAGTCCAGAACACTGCAGGGCGGGATTCCTGCCTTGCTATATCCAGGGTGCCGCGGGGCGGGGGTTCTCTTGTGCAGGAGTCCAGGACGTGGCGGAGCAGGAGTCCTCCGTGTAGGTGTCCTCCGGTGCTGGAGTCCAGAGCTCAGTGAGGCTGGGTCCTCCCGTGCCATAGTGTAGGGCATGGCGGGACAGGGATCCAGCCCTGCGATAGTCCAGTGCTTGAGTCCGCAGTAAGGCAATGGTCCTCCAGTGCTGGAGTTCACGGTGTGGTGGGGTCGGGGTCCTTCGGTGACTTAGTCCAGGGCGTACCAGGGCGGGGTTCCACAGTTGCCATAGTGAGGATCCTGGAGGAGGGTGGTTCCTGCCTTGCTGTAGTCCGGGGAGCAGGGGGCAGGGGTTCTCTCTTGTCAGAGTCTCTGGCGCGATGGGGGTGGGCTGGGGGTTTTCCTATGCGATAGCCCACTGGGCGGTGAAGCCGGGTCCTCCCGTGCCTTTGTCCAGGGTGCAGGGGGGCGAGGGTCTTCAGTGGTGGAGTCCGTGGAGCAGCAGGGCGGGGGTCCTGCAGTGCCATATTCCAGGCCGCTGCGGAGTGGGGGACCTGTCCTGCAGTGGTCCAGGGCATGCGGGAATGGTGGTCCTCCTGTGCCATAGTCCAACGCGCAGCGGGGCGGGGGGTCACCTCGTCCTGCGGTCCACCAACCACGAGGCCCGGGTGCTGCTGTGCCTCAGTCCAGTGCGCGGTGGGACGGCGGTCCTGCTGTGCTGTAGTGCAGGACGCGGTGGCGCAGGGGTAGTCCAGAGAGCGCCGTGGCAGGGGGTCCTCCAGTGCTGGAATCCAGTGCAAGGCGGGTCAGGGGTCTTACCGTGCCGAAGTCGGTGGCAGGGGTCCTCCCGTGCCATAGTCTAGGGGGCGACGGGGCAGGGTTCTCTAGTGCAGGTGTCCAGGGTGTGGCAGGGCAGGAGTCCTCTGGTGCAGGAGTCCAGAACCTAGCCGAGGAGTCCTCCAATGCCAGAGTCCAGGGCTCTGCGGGGCCGGGTTCCCCCATGCCAGAGTGTAGGGCGTGTTCAGGCGAGGGTCTTGGCGTGCAGTAGTCCAGGGTGCGGTGGGGCAGGGGTAGTCCAGACCTCCATGGCGGGGGTCCCTCTGTGCAGGAGCCCAGTGCCCGGCGGATCGGGGGTCCTTCCGTGCTGTAGTCCGGGGCACGGCAAGGTGTGGGTCCTCTGGTGCCCTAGTTCGGGGGCGGCGAGTCAGAGGTTCTCCCGTGTCTTGGTCTAGGGCGTGGAAGGACTGGGGTCCTGGAGTCCACGCGGTAGCACAAGTTGCCCCAGGACCAGGTCCTCTGGAACCACAGTCCAGGGCGCTGAGGGGCAGGAGTAGTTCAGGGCGAGCCGGGGCCAAGGTCCTCGGGAGCCAGAGTCCAGGGTGTGGAAGGGTGGGGGTTCTGCAGTGCACAGTCCAGGACACCGCGGGGCGGGGCAGGGCGGGGATCCTCCGGTGCCTTAGTCCAGGGCTGAGCCGCGGTAGAGGTCCTTCAGTAGCATAGTCTAGCGCACGGCGTTGCAGGTGTCCTCCAGTGCCTGAGACCACGGCAGGTCGCGGGTCCCACTGTGCTCTAGTTCAGGATGGAGCAGGTCTGAGGTCTTCTGTTGCCTCAGTCTAGGGCGCTGGAGAGCGGGGATCCTCTGGTGCCAGAGTCAATGGATCCACCGGTCGGGGTCCTCCCATGTCTTAGCCCCGGGAGGGGAGAGGCGGGGGTCCTCCTTTGCCCTAGTCCAAGGCATTGTGAGGCCCCGCTCCTGCATTCTTAACTGTCTGTGCCTCTGCCGCCGCGGGGGAAAACTGCACCATCTCAGGCAAGCCTAACAGAGCAGCTGTCCTTAAAAGATTCCCAGTTGAGTGTGGTTCGGAGCAGGCCTGAGAAGTGTGCCCTTAGATGGCTTCAAGGGCTCTGGGCAATGTTTAAGGAATCCAGCTGACCTCAGTTACTCCGAGCCCTTTTCCACTCAGCAGAACTTCTGGCCACCGGGTCCTCTATCTGCGGAGCCCTTCTATCATCCCAGATCCCCACAGGGTGGACTCCGTCTCATCCTCACAATCTCAGCTCAGGCCTTATTCATCACAGCATTCCTGGCACCAGGCCTGGCCCATGAGAAATTGGTCAGATTAAGAGCTAAATGTGTTTCCATGGTCACTTGTTTTCTTCAGGCCTCCTTTCTTTGTGCCAGCATCTTTGGGTTTTGGTTAAAGTTTTCAGCAGCTGCATGAAGTTCCATTTTTCTTACCAGGTAAGAGACATAGCTTCATGAAAACAAAGGCAGAACGCTTGTGACCAGAGAACTCCCAGTCCTCTCCCTGCATAGGAAAACTGGACTTCTCCGGAGGGCTCCAGCTCCTGGGCAAATCTCTAGGGCCACTTAATTGGGCTGTCCCCCACCTTTGTTTCTGGTTTTGAAGGGGCGGAAGTTGGGAATCCTTTCTAAGTCTCTACACATGGAGCCCTTCTTTGGTGGGAAAGTCTTGACATATACCAGGATTGTCATTGACCTTTCAGAGCCTTCAAGAATCCTGAGCTGCTTTGGCTTCTGTTCCTGGAAGAGAGGCCACTGAACTGCTCTGGAGCTGGAGTTCAAGTTCAAATATTCATCACTGTTACTAAGCCTTTACATAGCATGTGATTTCTTTCCGGCAGGCTCATGGTCACTTAGGTTTGCTTGTATGTAGATGGAGTGGTCTGCATCCTCATTCAGGTAACACCCCCAGCCTTTCATGCTGAGATTGGCCATTTTATTTGTAACTCACTGTACAATCCATTTGCTCTTCCAGTGTCCCTTAGAAGGATGCAGAGTGTACTGTAGAATGCCATAGAGACCTGGGTTTAGGGAAAATATTTGACCCAAAGTCCGCCAACTCACATGAGTATCTCCCCACAACTTGTACCGTGCTAGTCTCTGGGTATATAGCAAATGAAACCGTGCCTGAACAGATGTTACAAACACCCTCCCCTGAGAGACTCCAGGGCTGCTTTATTCATGCAAAACGGTGGGCTCTAATAAGCTCAGAGCTGAGAGGAACAAGTTTTCATTCCAGCGTTCTCAAAAACTCCCTTTGTGACTTTAGGCCTAATAATAATAACACTACCTAGGTAGTGAACACCTCTGTGCCAAGAAATATCATGATCATTGCCTGAGTTGTAATTCTCACAGTAGTCCTGCAGGACAGCTGCTATTACTGCTTATTATGCAGATGGGCAACCTGAGGCTCAGATGGAGTTAAGTGGCTTAATTGGTAGCAATAGAGCCAGGATTTGAACCCAGGGCTGCCTGATCACCAAATAAAATTGTACTCAACATGATGCACTTAACTTTTCTGGCCTCATTTCTCTCACCTGTAAAAATGCATATTTCAGATGTTTGTAATATTTTACCTGTGGTTGAAAGAGTTACCAGCCCTTCCTTGATCACCCATGGTAAGACCCATGAGCCTCTGAATATAATTATAGAAAACATTTGGAGAGGGATGGAGAGAAACAAGATCATGCCTCCTTTGATAATGTCAAATTTTCAGTGCACGAAGCCATACATAGTGCAGTTTTCTAGCTTCCCTTTCACACATGGCGTTGAAGAAAGTAAATTAAGCAACTCAGCTAACACTGGGAATGCAGCAGAAGTCATCGAGTTCAGTGCTGGGAGACAGTTGCCATGATATTCCAACATGGACACCAGGATCACAGTCGATGACTATGCCCTCCCTTGAAGATGGTGGCTTGCCTCTCTTTCTGTAAGCACATGTCATGTCATAACAATATTAAACAATTAAAAGTAATGTCCCCATCTTCTTCTACACTGCCTTTGAATTATTATTTTAGATCTGCCAAAATAAATTGCAAACTCATTAACAAGAAATGGGGGTGCCTGCATCCCTGCCTTCCTGAGTAGTCTATTCACCCAAAGACAAAAGGGTGACCAGCCTCCATCTGGGATATTCAAAGACACAGTCACCCTGCCATGCAGCCTGAGGCTGGCGAAGGTCCAATCCCCTTTTTAAGAAGCTTGTTGGATGAGCTTCATAAACATACAACCACAAAGGAAAGGCACAGCTGATGTGAGCGAGGCTGATAAGATGGGCATTTTGTCTGCTTCAAGGTTAGAATGCAACTTGTCTGTCAAAATGTGGTTATCTGACCTCCACAATGCTGCAGTCCAGCTAAATCCTGCAAATATTCATCCACCATTTACTATGGATAAAACAATAATGTGCTGTGGGGAATCCAATTACACACACACACACACACACACACAAAAGTGCACACACACATGCATGCACACACACTGCTCCTGCTGTCTCAGAGGTTCCATGCTGGCAAGGCAGAAGTGCAAACATTAGCAGGTAAGTCCACTAGCAGGAGGAATGTGATAAGTAGATCCAACAGGGTACAACACAGTATGATAGAAGCAAACAAGGTAGAAATGAGTTCTGACTCCCTTTCACTTATGAAACTGATTATGGAATAGTGTATGAAAGGCTTGCCTGAATGAATCTCATATTTTCCAAGTGTTTTCTATCCCAGTGATTGGAACTTTTATTCATTTATACCATTGTCCAAAAGGAAAATACAGGAGATTTTCCTAAGACCATCCTCTGTCTTATCGCTCATATCATATCCCCAAACATCACCAAGCCCTGCCCACTTTTACCTACTCGGTTTCTCTCCAGTTGCTCTGTTTTCTCCATATGCACTAGTGATACCTTGGCTACATGAAGACCACCAGCAGCAGCCGGGACAACCAGCACCTTGTGGAACTGCATAGAGTGCATAGAATACGTCCTCCCTTCAGTCGGCTTGGGTCAGCTTAGGTCATGGGCCACCTGGACTGACAGCAGTTTCCACAGAAATGCCTCAAGATGATAGAATAATCCAAATCTCTTTGCATGGGGCATGGTGTGGCTATCTGAGAAAATCCTGGCTTTTATAGGAAGGAGAAAGAAGAATGCTTCTTGAGGGGAAGAAACCAACAGGAATGTGCCTCAGGGAAATGTCACCAGAGGAGAGTGAGCTGTAATGAGTATTTTGGCAGATTGCATGTTTCTTGTGGTTCTTGTGTTCCTCGGCCCTGCACAGAGCTACCATTTACTCATTTGACAAATATTTGAGTAGTAGACTCCAGGGTTCAATAGTGAGCAAAAATGCACAGAATTTCTTCTCTAGTGGAGCTGAGAGTCTAACAGAAAGAGGTGATGTTAGTCACAGAATTATGTAACAAGGGAAAGTTCAGCAGACCCAGGGGTGCTGCAAGAGCCTGGGAAGGTGGACTGACCCCAAGAGGGAGGCAGGAAAGGTTGCCCCCAGGAAGCAGCACTTGAGCTAAAATCAGGGAGAAAACTAGGCAAAGACACAGCATTCAGGAGGAGGTAGAAGCTGGCCCATGAGGATGGTGGTGTGGAGAGGTGAACCAATACCCAGGTCTTGGATTTATTGTTGAGCTGCTGAATTAACCAGTGCTGGCTCTCTCCCAACCTCTGCACTTCTTGTTTTGCAAGGTTTTTTTTTTTTTATTTAAAAGCTAGTATGAGTTGGGATCTGTTGCTTTTCTGAGACCCCATCATGTGAGGTAGACAGGGGGCCTCACTGTACTCTGGGGGAGCTAAAGATGGAGAAGAGTTTTAGAGTGCCTGGAGAAGAGGCCCTTTAATAGATCATTTAAGAAGAGGGTGCTACCGCTAGACTGCCCAGATTCACTTTCTGGCTTTGTGACCTTGGGCTCTCTGTGTCTGTTTTCCAATCTGAACAATGGAATAATGATAGTATCTGCCTCTGCCTGCAAGACCCTGTCCTATCAGACCAACTACCTTTTCACTAGAACTCTCTTCCTGCACTGTACCCCAACTGGACCCTCATTAACACTTAAAATGGGCATGTTTCCCTTTTCTAGATTTTGCTCAAGACATTTCCCTCATCAGAATTAACTTTGGTCCATCTCCCTCTATTGGAATTCAACCCATTCTCCAGAAATCAGTTCAAATTTTATCACCAGAATGCCTCTCTCAATTACACCAAGCCTCTTTTATACTTTGTGCCATTTCTGCCATGATTTCTTATGTTTTCCTTTTTCACTACATATTGGTACAGGTACATATGATCTCCACTTCCACTCAAATGTGAGGTTACTGCGGGCAGTCCCTATGGGTATAGTCATATCCCAAGAGTCCTGGGCAGAGGGTCCCCCTCTTGCACCCAGGTTGGAGTGCAGTGGTGCAACCAGAGCTTACTGCAGCCTTGACCTCCTGGGTTCAAATGATCCTCTCACCTTAGCTTTTCCAGTAGGTGGTATAAAAAGGCGAGCACCACCATGCTTGGCTAATTTTCATATTTTTCGTAGAGATAGGGTTCCACCATGTTGCCTTGCTTGGTCTCAAAGTTCTGAGCTCAAGCAATCCACCTGCCTCAGCCTCTCAACATCCTGGAATGACAGCATGAGCTACCACACCTGGCCAAATGCCGAATACTTTAGTCATATATGCCTGACACTTCAGGGCGTGCAGAACTGCCTCGCTTACTTTTCTTTTGACTCAGTTTATAAATTTTCTTAATTTAAATTTTAATTTCAACATGTGTACATCTTTGAAATAAATAAAATAATCTCTTTGAATGTTTGGCATAATGTAGAAGAAATTGACAAATGGATATCTTTACTTCATTTTCCATCTCAAAATGTGGTAGAAATATGCTCCCCTAAAGTGATCCCAATTATTACATAGCCATCTTGCTGTGGTTAATGTAGAATCTTTTTGCAATATCACATGCATGACAGGGCACATCCAAAAAACATTTAAGTGAGGATAATACTAGATTCTTGAAAGTATCTAGACACTTAAGAGCAGGCAGTGATGATGTTAATTAACAGTAACAATGTCGAGGGACTGGCTTTTGCCCTTCCCTAATAAACATAAAGAGCATAGAAACTCAGCAAATTTGCTCTTATTTTCTTCATTATTTGGTTGTTGAATCAGTAAATGCTTTCCACAGGGGTCATCTTGTTAGTCATCTTGTCACTTTGCTGTGTCCCTTCTTCATCCTTGCACTTTTTCCTTTCTCCCATTTTGGAATGTATTGAGAGGAGTGTTATGTTGATGGAATGCCATGTCCTGACTTGCCATTTGATTAGAACTTCCCTCAATTTTTAACATGCTTCTTGATATGGTTTGGATTTGTGCACCCCCGCATCCCCAATCTGATGTGGAATTGTAATTGCCAGTGTTGGAGGAGAGGCTTAGTAGAAGGTGTTTGCATCATGGAGGTGGTTTCTAATGGTTTAGCCTCATCCCCCTAGTGCTGTCTGATGATAAAGTTATCCTAAGATCTGCTTGTTTAAAAAGTTAAAAAGCACCTCCCCTGACTCGTTTCAGCCATGTGAATATGTGCTTGCTTCCTTTTCACCTTCTGCCATGATTGTAAGTTTCCTGAGGCTTCCCTATAAGCATAAGTCTGTACAGCCCACAGAACTGTGAGCCAATTCAATCTCTTTTCTTTTTCAATTACCCATTCTCAGGTATGTCTTTATAGCATGTGAGACAGACTAATACACTCATCCTCAGAAAGCATTCAATTTAGCTGTGTCTAAAGGTATGCCAGCTGTCCTGGGACATTATCTTAGCCAATCATTCTTCCTCTTCAGCAAGATCTATTTGCCTATCACAGCTTGACCACACTTCCTATCATACCTGTCTGTAACAAGTAGCCTATAACATCTGGAGGGATTTCATTGAAATCACAGAGGTTCCTTGGTTCTTTACTTTATTAGCAGGCATTAGGAAAGCACATCAACTTTCTTATTTAATAAAGTGCCTGTTGCTTTGAAAAATTGCCCAAAAGAAGAAAAGAGAGGGTTACTTAAAGGTATCACTATAGGCATGGCATGCTGGTTCACACCTGTAATCCCAGTACTTTGGGAGGCTGAGGAGAGAGGATCACCTGAGTCCAGAAGTTCAATACCAGCCTAGGTGACATGGCAAAACCCCATCTCTACAAAACGAAACAAAACAAATAAAACAAAACAAAATAGAAAAAATATTCAGGCATGGTGGCATGTGCTTGTATTCCCAGTTACTCAGGAGACTGAGGTGGGAGAATCACTGAGCCCAGGGAGGTTGAGGCTGCAGTGAGCCATGATCATGCTACTCCACTCCAATCTGAGTGACAGAGCAAGACCCTGTCTCAAAAAAAAAAAAAAAAAAAAGCTATCACTATACTATCTGTAACTGTTCTTAATTAGGATAACTAGGTTTTTTCCAACAGTGGAAACTCCAAACAGACTAAATTGTTGTACATCAAGGTGAATTGTCATAGTTAATTCCTTTGCTTGCAACTGCCCAATAAATGGATGAGGACTCACTTCACCAATAAATAAGAAAGGTGAACAGCACATGGGGCCTGTAGATGCCTTTTGCAGGGCCCTCTTTTAATCTTCCTAAAGTTGCAATTTGCATATTTCTGTAGATGGGCACATCATAGAAGCTGTCATCCTAGATCAGAGCCTGGAGAGAGAGATACAAGTGTCATGCTTAAATCTGCAGAGTAGGAACAAGCCCAGAGAAATCAAGATGATTAAGCAGAGAGTTTCCATACTGGAGATAAACCAGCTGTGTAAAAAGTCATGCTTATTGAACAAAAAAGCATTGCACCGCCGAAATAACTGCTTTAACTAAGAAGTAAAGAACTGACACCCCAACAGAGCACAGAGAGCCACATAGACAGGAGCTGCATTTCAAACAAGGTCATTGCTGTTTTCCCCACTCTGAGTTAAGTGTCTCTGCTTCACCCTTCCTTACCAAAGTTCTGCTTGATCATCCTTTTGTTTTGTTTTGTTTTGTTTTGTTTTTTGTACTTCCCTTCTTTGAGAAAATATAAACCAAAATTTTACATAAAACAGGAATTCAACTTTTGACAATGTTAGCCATTGAAACAACAACAAAAAAGGTTTCTATTATTTCTCATCTCTGTGCTATCCAGTGCAGTAGCCAATAGCCACAGGTGACTATTAAAATTAAAATTAATTCAAATAAAACAAAATTTAACATTAGCTGGTCAGTTGTACTAGCCACATCTCAATTACTCAATAGCCACATGTGGCTAGTGGCTACTGAACTAGGCAGCATGAATGTAGAACATTTTCATCATCGTAATTTTCTAGGTCATGGAAAAATTACAGAACTCAATTTCCAGTGTGCACATTTATTTGCATACCTAGGAGCTTTCTGACCCTGTGTTGAGCTGCCTAACCAGCTTCCTGATTGACCTCCTGATATTTCTGCAAATGTGGACTAAGAGGCCAGGATTCCTCAGGGCCCAGGTGACTCAGGTTATTCAGAAACTATGTTTGGACTAGCAGGCCTCTACTTGATTTGGGATGCGAAATGGGACTTCTCTTCCTAATTGCTAAAATAGATTTCAAGGTTCACCTCTCATCGCGGTAAGAGTCTCATTTCCTGAGACTCTTATTTCTTTCCATGACTTATGGTATATTCTGGAGAGAGTGGATTCACACAGAAGAGCTGGCTCTGTGCTGGTTTTCCAGGGGTCAGCCCCCTTGTCAGTGACAAGCCTGCCTATCTACATGATGTACATTATGTCCCACTACTGGTAATAGAAGCTCAGCAATTGATTGACTGTTAGGTTATTTTCAAAGCTCAGTATTCACAATAATCTAACAGACACCCACACAACCACAAGGACAGACAAGGCTCTCATAACCTGCAAAAGACAAGGTGCACATTTCTTCTTTCCATCCCAGCAACAAATTGCCAAACCAGCCAGCACTTAAGTTGGGGTAAAAATTAATTAAAAGAAGAACCTACCAATGTAGATAAAAGAACAGAAAAGCTATTGCAGCTGTCTTCTCCATAACAGAGGCCTGTGATTTGAATTTTAATGTTTCAATCTACTTTCTGCTCTTGTGTTTATTTTATTATTTATTTTTTGTCACTATCTCTTATTTGTAGATACAAATTTTTCATATTTAAAAGCTATTTTAAATATAATCTTTAAAAGGAGAAACATTATTTTTTTTAATTGCACAAAATACTGAAGGTGAGATCCACTGATTGGAAAGCAAAATGGGACAATATCTCTGGAAGCAATTTTATCCAGATAAATCAATAGCTTTAAAACAATTCAAAACCTTGGACCTAATACCTCTACTTCTAGGAAGCTAGCCTATGAAGGTTTCTGCTGAAGGATGTTTATCACAGTATTATTAATAATGCGAAAAAGCCAAAGAAGAGACCTGAAATGTTTCAAAGATGAAAATGGTTTGATAAACAACATTTTTTTTAGATGGGGTCTCACTCTGTTGCTCAGACTGGGGTGCAGTGCCACGATCTCAGCTCACTGCAAAATCCTTCTCCCAGGTTCAAGCAATGCTCCTGTTTCAGCCTCCCAAGTAGCTGGGAATACAGGCACACCAACCACGCCTCACTATTTTTTTGTATTTTAGTAGAGATGGGGTTTCACCGTGTTGCCTAGGCTGGACTCAAACTCCTGAGCTCAGGCAATCCATCTGTCTCGAACTCCCAAAATGCTGGGATTACAGGCATGAGCCACCACACCTGGCAATAAGCAACATATTTAAACACTAGAATATTATGCAAACATCCCAGGCATGCTTTGGAAAAACTATTAATCCCACAAAAGATGCTTATGTTATTATACAGACTAACAGACCAAGATTCTCCAGGACACTTACTATGTTACATGTCTGAAGTACAATATAATGCCATATATAAAATGTAACCTCAACTCAGGCCCCAGTCTTTTCATCTGGAAAATTCTATTAATTATACTGCCCTTCCCCTTTTTAGGTTTTCTGTAGGAGTTAAATACAATACACTTTGTCAATTGCTTAACACCATGCTCAACACTGGTCGGGAAGATATAAATGTCAGCTATTGTACTATGTGCCAAAAAAACAAACAAAAAACCACACAGACAGACACACACACACAAAGACACACACGGAGGGAGAGGAAGTAAAGATTAAGAAGCAGCACATAATGTTACGGTAGGCAATGGGACCACTAGTGATTTTCATATCCTTTTTTATTTTCTTCTTTATACTGCTTACATTTTTCAGTGTATACAATGAGCACGTATTACTTCTGTAACCAGAAGAATGTGGTATAAACCTCACCTTAATATAATAAAACAAAATTACTGGCCAGGAACGGTGTCTCGTGCCTGTAATCCTAGCACTTTGGAAGGCTGAGACTAGTAAATCTCTTGAGCTCAAGAATTTGAAACCAGCCTGAGCAATACAGTGAGACCTTGTCTCTGCAAAAAATACAAAAATTAGCCAACCATAGTGGTATACAACTGTAGTCCTAAGTTACTTAGGAGGCTAAGGTGGGAGGGTGGCTTGAGACCAGGAGGTGGCTGCAGTGAGCTGTGATTGCACCACTGCACTCCAGCCTGGGTGAAAAAGCCAGACCCAGTCTTGTACAAAAATAAAAAAAATAAAAAAAATAAAAAGTTATTACTTAGATCCCACATGCTGTCTTGGAGCCATTGTAGTGTTGCGGGATTCAAGAGACTGGAGAGACCAATGGATGAGACAGGAGGATTTTATTAAAGTGGCCACTGGCCTAGTAGATTCGCATCCAAAAGGCTGAGCCTGGAACAAAGATGGGGCCTGGTTTTTAAGCATGCAGCTGCGTGAAACTCACAGGGTGGGCTTAGCAAGCTTACAGAAGCAGAACAAAGGCAGTTAATCAAACAGTGACAGGTGTATGACTCAAACATGCCTGGTGACCTCTGCTGGGCCGTCCAGCAGGCCCTCAGCAGATGGTTACTATTTTAGGCTTGCTCAGACATGTCTTGTGACCTTCTCAGTGTTGCACAGATGGAAAACAGGAACTTACAAAATCCTTACAAACTTACAGAAATAGTTACAAAAATAGTTATGAGAGCAGAGCAAAGACATACTGGCCTAGGAAAGAATCTCAAAGGGGGAAGCTGATAAGAAGAACTTGTTCTTCTCATCCCTGTTCCTGGAGTCCATTCCTTCTGGGCTCTGCTTGGCCTTGTATATAAAGTTAGCTTAGTCCTAGCAGGGCCTTGATGTGAGTCAGCCTGGTACAGGCAGGAATTTAGGTTTTTCTCCTTTTAATTTCGGCTTTAGTAGGCTAGGGTTCTGGTTGCCACTGCTGAGAAAGTAAAGTGTGTTCAGGCTGTCCATGGTTCTGGGCTCCCCCGGGTCTCTGAGGAGGGCTGTCCCCTCTATCACAGAGAATATCAGGACACTAGCCTGTTCCTAGTTATACTTACACACTCCTCTCATGTTGTCTATGGAGTGGAGGCTGCAGGGAGGGTGACATCCTAGTTAGTCCCAAGTGCCAGACTGCCTGAAGCTCACTGTTAACAAGTCCTGCCTTGGAGAAGAAGGAAGGTTGTCTCTGTGAATCTCCCACCTGGGCCAAAGGGAGGCCACTCTCTCCTCTGCCTCTCCCCAACCTTGGTCTTCTGCACTCCTAGTGAACCTCTCTCCCCCTGCCTACAGGCCTGGAATCTCAAGACCATGATGACCTAGTCACCCCTGAATCCAGGGCTTTCCCTTTACAAAGGGGAAACTGAGACCTGGAGCAGGGCCGATGTTCAGCCAGCCGATAAGGGAATAGCCGAATTGGTGGTAAAATACTGAAATAGTTCCAGTGTGGATGGAAAGGGGCCACTGCCCTGAACATCTCTACCCCGCCGCCTCAGCCCATCCTCCAGGACCCTGGGTCAGCACCAGGAGCATCAAAGTGGCCAGGATTGGCTGAAGCCCATGCTAATGGCTCTGCCAGCCCTTCTCCCCACCAGAGAAGGCAGGGGAAATCAGGCTATCTGGGGGTAGCACTGTGACCGTGTATGCAGTAGTCAAACCTTGTGTGCCACCATCCCTGACTTTGTTGATAAGGGCATCAGGCTACATCCCTCTGGTACTCAGTGGTAAGCATCTAAAATCTTAAAGAAAAAATTTAAAAAGCTTTCAAAATATAGGACTTAACATATGAGGCTGCACAAACATCTCTTTAGCAGTTGTCCAACTGGTGCTTCTGGTTCTGCCTCCCCAGAGAGTGGATGACCTGGGCCACCCTCCACCACTGCCCTGTAAGGCCATGGGACACACAGCCCATCGGTTCTCTTCACGTGGTCATCCCCCTTTAGATGGGAGAAAATATACCTGCCTCATTTTTGTACCTTCTGTTTGGACATTCCATGACAGAGCTTCACTAAATGTGTGATGAAGAACTGAATGAATGAATGAATGAATATGAGAGCAAATGAATGAATGGTTTAGATCCTGGGCTGGAAGTCTGTATGAGGATGGTGGGTAGAGGAGAGTGTGTTTTTCTTGCCTTTAAGTCATTACTTGTCATTTTGGGGCAGGAGCACAGGCTTTGAATGCAGACTGACTGGACTTTAATCCTGGCTTTACTAGTTGTGATTGTGTGACCTTGTACATGTTACTTAAACCCTCTGTGCCTGTTTCTTTATCTGTAAAATGGAGATAATAAGATGACAAAGGACTGTGGTAAGAATTAAATGCTTAAAAAAATCACAGTTTGTATTAAGTCCTCAATAGATTGGGTTTAGCATCATGAGTGCATGTGTTTCTGGAACAATGCTCATCTTGGGCTGGATGGTGCCTACACAGAGAAAGACTCTGGCCTCTTCTCACTCACATGTATCTGTCTTATGCCTGGTTCCCATTCCCAGATCCTTGGAAGATCCATATTGCTGAAACGGTGAAGGGTGATGGGCACCTCAGGACAACTAAGTTGCTCCCCAAACATCTTCCCCCGCCCAAACTCTCCTGTGGTCTTTAGCATTTAACAGGAATCTCTGGACACTCCAAGGGGTGATCCTCTCATGGAAGCCCAGTGGGGAGGAGGCTGCGGGAAAGGTCAGGCACTGTGCACTTCCCTGACAGCTGCAAATGGTTCTGTTTCCAAGCCCACGGGTCACTACAAATAAGGCAAGTTATATGACATAATAATGTGATTCTTTGGTGCCTCGGTCCACACTGGCACTTTAATACTCCTAGAGTGGATTGCATGGTGGTCTATCAAAAGATATGTCTACCTGGAACATGTGAATGTACCTTTATTTGGAAAACAATCTGCAGATGTAATTAAATCCAGCACCTCGAGATGAGGGCATCTCATCTTGGATTAAGATGGGCCCTAAATCCAATGACAAGTATCCTTATAAGAAAAGCGGCAGGTAGGGCACAGTGGCTCACACATATAATCCCACCACCACCACTGAGGAAGGTCAAGTTGGGAGGATCGCTTGAACTCCAGGCGTTCAAGACCTGCTGGGCAACATGGTGAGACACTGTCTCTCCAAAATGTATATAAAATATAATAGCCAGACATGATGGCACCCGCCTGCAGTCCCAGCTACCAGCTACTCAGGAGGCTGAGGTGAGACGATAGCTTGAAACTGGGAGGTTGAGGCTTCAGTGAGCTGTGATCATGACACTGCCCTCCAGTCTGGGTGGCCCCTGGCCCCTCCACAACCTGCGCTAGAAGAGCTGGGCCCTGGCTCTGGGCATCATGCAGCCTCTGAGGTGGGGCTGAGTGCCAGTTCCTGCCCTCCTGCAGCTGGGGACCAACACCCTGACTTAGGCGCTGTGGAGGCTTCTGGCCCAAGGGTCCGCACTGCTGGTGGCACTGGCAGGGTCGGAGTTTGCCACAGCTGCTGCTGCGCGCCTTGTGCAGGTTACCACTGCAGCTGAACCTACATCAGAGGCAGGCAGGGCTGGTCCCAGACAGCCTGGGGGTCTCTGAGTGCAGGGCCCTTTCACCCTAGAGTCAGCTCTTTCTTGCCGGAGCCCACAGCGGGGTGTGCAAGCGCTGGGTACAGGGCAGCAGCCAGGAAATGGCTGAGCGGCCGGCTCCCGCCCTCCTGCAGCTGGGGTCTGACCAGCTGAATTAGCCGGTGGGCGGCGTCTGGCCCTGGGATCCGCCTGGCTGGTGTAGGAGCCTGGTCTGGGGTTGCCTCCAAGGCTGCTGCGCGCGCCATGTGCAGCTGGCTGCTGCAGCTGGGCCCATCACCTGACAAGGAGTTGCCCAGACAGCCTCAGGGTCATGGAGTGGACCACTGTCCCAGCCTAGTGTACGCTCTTCTTTTGCCTGCGCCCAGAGTTCCGGGTCGCGGGCACCGGGAACTGTGCAGCCAAGGTGCTTCGGCCGAGGGCAAAGGTTGCTGCCCTGCTGCAGCTGCTGGGCTGAGTGCCTGAATTAGGCGCTGAGGCGGCGTTGTCCCCGGTGTCCTGGCTCTTAGTGGTGCAGGCAAAGTGCCCGGTTGCTCTGCTGCTGCGGCGCCCTTGTACAGGTGGCAGCTGTAGCTGAGTTCTCAGTAGACGCCGGCAGGGTTGGTCCTAGAAAGCGTGAGGATCGCCGAGTGCACCGCCCTCCCAGCCTAGGGTCCACTCTTCCTTGGCCCGAGCCCAGAGCCCGGGGTTTCAGGCGCTGGGCCCTGTGCAGCTGCCCAGAATATGCTGAGCGGCAGGTTCCCGCCCTGGCAAGGGATCCAGCCGTGGTATCCTCACTGCTGTTGGCGGCGGGCAAGGTCAGCGGGGTTTCCACCGCTGCTGCCGGGAGCCACCTGGCGGTGGTAGCTGCAGCTGAGCGCGTGGCAGAGACCGGCAGGGCTGGTCCCAGACACCCTGAGGGTCTCTGGGTGCATCGCCCTACCACCCTAGGGTCTGCTCTTCCTTAGCCTGCTCCCAGGACGCGGTGTACGAGCGCTAGACTCTGAGCAGCCTCCAGGATGGGGCTGAGCGGCGGAGTCCTGCCCTGCTGCAGCTACAGTCTGAATTAGGCGCCACCGCAGTATCTGACCCTGGGGTACGTGCTACTGGTGGCATGGACAGAGATGAGGGCTGCCACAGCTGCTATGGGGCTGAGCAGCCGATTTCCGCCCCGCTGCAGCGGGCGACCGCTGCAATCCCCAGCGCTATGGGACCGACCACCTGACTTAGATGCCTTGGAGGCATCCGGCCCTAGGGTCTTTGCTGCTGGTGTCTGAGGGCAGGGTCAGGGCTGCCACTACTACTGCCGTGCGCCATGCGCAGGTGCCAGCTGCAGCTGAGTCCCAGGCAGATGCTGTCAGGGCTGGTCTGAGGTTGCCTAAGGGTGGCTGAGTGCACCGCCCTTCCACCCCAGGGTCCGTTATTCCTAGGCCGGCGCCCAAATTGCAGGGTCGTGGGCGTTGGACACTGTGCAGCCATGAGGATCTGGTTGGGTGCAGATTCCCGCCCTCCTGCAGCTGAGAGGCCAACCTCCTAACAGGCGCCGCAGTGACCTCTGGCTCGGCGGTCCGCGCTGCTGCTGGAGCTGGCAGAGACCAGAGCTGCCACCGCTGCTGCTTCCAGGAGTGTGCAGCTGGCAGCTGCAGCTGAACCCGCAGCGGAGGCTGGAAGGGCTTATTCCAGAAGCCTTGAGGGTCCCCGAATGCACCGCCCTCCCACCCTAAGGTCCAGTCTTCCTTGCCCGCTCCCAGAGAGTGGGATTGCAGGCGCTGAGCACAGTGCAGGCGCTGGGATGGGCTAAGCTGCAAGTTTCCGCCCTCTGGCTGCTGGGGGGCCGACCGCCTGAGTTATGCGCCGCGGCGGCTTTTGGTCATGGGGTCCGCACTGCCGGTGGCTTGCACAGGGTCGGGGGCTGCCACAGCTGCTATAGTTCACCATGTGCACGTGGCAGTCGCCCCTGAGCCCACCGCTGAGGCTGCAGGGCTGGTCCGGTCTCAGACGGCCTGAGGGTCATTTGCCCGCGCCCAGATCCGGGTGGCTGGCGCTGGGCACTGTGCAGCCTCCAGGAATCCGCTGAAGGGCAGGTTCCCGCTCTCCTACAGCTGTGGGCCGACTGCCTGATTTTGGCCACTAGGTGGAGTCTGTCTCTAGGGTTTCGAGGCCGCTGGTGTCGGCGGGCGGAGTCCGGGTTTGCCACCGCTGCGCGCCATGAGCAGGTAGCAGTTGCAGCGTAGCTTTAGACAGAGGCTGGCAGGGCTGGCCCCAGACGGCCTGAGGGTCAGGGAGTGCAGGGTCCTCCCACCCTAGGTCCGCTCTTCCTTTGCCCTTACCAAGAGCGGGTTGTGCGGGCGCTGGGCTCTGTGCAGCCGCCGAGGTGGGGCTGAGCAGCGGATTTCCGCCCTGCTGCAGCTGGAGGACGATTACCTGAATTAGCCGCTGAGGCGGCATCTGGCCCTGGGTTACTGCTGCTGGTGACGCGGGCAGGGTCAGGGTTGGTTGCAGTTGGCAGCTGCTGCTAAACCCATTGCGAGCCTCAGGGTCACCAAGTTCACCGTCCTTTCATCGTAGTGTCTGATCTTTGGCCCGCGCCCAGAGTGAGGACTCGCCTGCGCTGGGGATTGCATAGCTTCTGGGGGGCGGTCAGCGCCCGTTTCACGTCCTCCTGCAGCTGCGTGGCCTAAGGTCTTAGGCGCCGCGGTGCTATCTGGCCCTGCTGTCCGTGCTGCTGGTGGCGGGGACAGGGTCGAGGGTTGCCGCTGCTGCTCCCGTGCACCATCGGCAGGTGGCAGTTGCAGCTGAGCCCACAACTGAGGCTGTTGGGGCTGCTCCCAGGTTGTCAGAGGGTCGCCGAGTTCACCGACATGCCACCCTAGGTTACGCTCTTTCTTGGCCCGCAACCAGAGCGCCGGGTTACGAGTCCTGGGCCCTGTGCAGCCACGGGGATGGTGCTGAGTGCAGGTTCCCGTCTTCCTGATATGCGGGGCGACCACTGGAATTAGCCTCTGTGGTGGTATCTGACCCTAGGGTCCGAGCTGCTGATGGCGTGGGCGGGGTCGAAGTCGCCTCTGTTGCTGTGGCGTGCCATTTGCACTGTCCTCTGGAACAGGCTGGTCTGTGCTGTGTATGGTCAGTGGAGTCTTCTCTGGGCATTCTTCACTGATATCTGCTGACATGGCTCATCTTCTCTTTGATTTTGCATGTATTGGCACTCAGTGATGAAGTTTCTGGTAACCCACTGCCATTTTCCTCTAGCCTCCAAGACCTCACATTCTGAGGCCAGCATGTCCCACCAGGGGCCTCCACTGGTCCTGTCAAACCAGGTGTGAGTCCCCCTTCCACCAAGCTTGGAGAGACTGGCTTTTCAGACAGCACTCACAGGCTGAGAGTAAGGGAGCTGATCTCTCAGGCACTTCCCCCTGTCCTGCCACTCTGTCATTCCTGGGACACCCTATGTGCACTAGAGAAGTAAGACACCAGCCTGCATATTTTCTCATCTTTCTTTAACTGTCTATTTTTTCCTATCCATCTGTTTGAGCGAGTCCCAGGAGGATGTTGGGGCTGAATACCTGATCAGAGACACAGGCAGAGCCATAGTCACATCTCCTGGGAACTTTCTTCTTCCTGTGTAGTTAAAAGCTCTTCTCTTCCTCTTCTTCATAGAAATTCCCCTTACACTAAACCTTTGACTAAAGCCATCCCCTCAGTTTGATAAAATTTTAGACAGGATTATTTCTGATTCTTGGCTCCTCACCTCTTTTTTTCTTTAGCATATTTTAGAAATGTTATCATTGTAAATTCTTTCTCTGCCTCTTTGATAAATCTTTCTAAGAGCCCACGTGCCAGTTTTACACTTCAGAAATGTCCATTTCAAGGACCTCAGAGCCATCCCTTTGAAATGTAATTCTCAAAAAAGATAACACCATTATCTCCCAGACTCCATGAGAGAGTAAGAGCCAAATTTTGGTGGGCATATTCCTCTAATTTGTAAAATCACCTTCTGTCATAAAGATAAAAGATAGTTTAATATTCCTTTGGAAAAAGACAACTATCAAAGACAAGTGGTCTATGATCTCCCCCTCATCCTGGCTCTTAAAATCTCTACTGCTGTTTGTTTCAGTGGAGCTGAGTTCAGACTAAGTTCTGGCCTCTTTGCCCTTTTGCAATAGTCTTCAATAACAGCTTTTTTATGTGTTTAACTTTGTCTGGTGCAACTGTTTTCTTTGACACTTTCCACCCTAACTAGAACTTCCATTAAAGTCATAATAGGATTCAAGGCAGCCAAACTTGACTCACATACGTAAAAAAACTTGTTAGGATTTAGAAACCCATATTCTCTTCAATAAATTGTTTCTTCAGACTGTTGCCTTATTAAAAGTTTCTAGTTCTTATTTTGGCATTGAAAAGGAGAATACCAATTTTTAAATAAGTCTCTGCTCACTTTTAATTTCTGCTATCACAATTTTATTGCTTTCCACGGCTGAACAATGAGAAGACCAGAACACAATTTTAAGTTAAATTTTATTTAATTTTTACTATTACAATTTTATTGCTTTCTCTGACTGAAAAGAGAAAACTCAAACAAAGTAGTCTAGTCTATGAAGTGGACTAGAACAAAGAATCATGTCTCATTAATACATTTCAGAAAGTTACCTCCATTTAACATCAATGGTGTCATTTAATATTCTTAACTTTCCTATCAAGTAGATGCTATTATTACCTCTATTTTATAGGATATTAAGTCTTATATATTATACATAACCAGCTGAAGGTCATGTAGCATGTAGATATGATAGGCATACAAAGAAGCAATGACATTAGAAGCAGAGGAGGGAGAAGGATTAAAAGGCTATACCTAGGTCGGTTAAGAGAAAAAGAAAAACTAGGAGGAGACAAATTCTTGTTAGAAAAAAATAATGATCGAGGCAGAGCAAGACAGTGGTGCAGACCTCTCCAGCTATCATACCCCTATAGAAACATCAATATGAACAACTGTCCACATGTGAAATTACCATTACAAGAGCCAACAGAACCTCAATACATGAACAAGGTTATGAAGCACCTTTGGCCTGTGAAGATGGGTAAAACCATGGCTTACAGAGTGAGAGAACCAATACTCTGTGACTGTGATACTCCTCCCTCAGGCCATTATGGTACCATCTGCAGAAACTCCCATAGGGCTTATAGTTTTTACACTGAAAAAAGTCAGCAGGAGGTTGATATTTGTTTTTTCCACTATACTGAGTGCCTTCACAGTAGACTCACTCCTGTATCAGCCCACAAGTGGCACCATGAGTGCCAAAAGGGATGAACCACCTGAGGCATGTTAAGGACATAAGAGGAGGTGGGGCCAGCAACAGCCACCATGTGAAACATAATACACAGACTACACGCTTGACGGCCTGACTTGTTCTCCCCCATAGCCAGGGGCTCCCTGTGGATCACCCATGGGCCCATCCAGCAAATGTTGCAGCAGTGGTGGAGCCATTGGAAGACTTATGTCTAACGTGGGATTTGGACTCTCTCTAATGCTAAAATGGAATACGATGGTAAGTCCGCTCAACATTTCCTAATAAGCCCACTTAAAAGTAGTCACAAACAAACCCAGACTGAGAAGACACAAATAAATATCTAATTCATCAATGTTTAGACAGAGATGTATATCTACATATAATAATGATAGCTTAGGAAAAGTTGCCTCTCCAAATGGACAAAACAAGGTGTCAGCAACTGAACTTAAAGACATACAGATGAATGATCCGGCAGGCAAAGAATTCAAAATGGCTGTTTTAAGAAGAGCCTGAACACTGAGAAAGCAGAGACATAATTCAGAAATTTACCAGAGAAATTCAACAAAGAAATCAAAATAATGGGAAAAATCACATGTAAATCCTGAAGCAGGAAAGTTCAATTAACACATTGAAAATCCAACGGAAGGCATCAACAGAAGAACTGATCAAGCAGAAGAAAGAAACAGTGAGCTCAAAGACAGGCTCTTTGAAAATACATGGTCAGAGTAGAATGAAAAAAAGAATGAAAAGAAACAAAGAAAGTTTATGAGATTTGTGGGACACCAACAAAAGAGCAAATCTACATATCATTGGTGTTAAAGGGGAACTAAGAATGAAAAGGAGATAGTTTATTCAAAGAAATAACAGAAAACTTTTTAAACCTGGAGAAAGATTAAAATGTTTAGGATGGTCAAAGTGCCCAATCATATTTAATCTGAATAAGACAACCAAAGACATTTTA
Source organism: Homo sapiens (assembly GCF_000001405.40). NCBI lineage: Eukaryota > Metazoa > Chordata > Mammalia > Primates > Hominidae > Homo > Homo sapiens. The sequence goes on along the minus strand of NT_187382.1, from coordinate 76,244 downwards.
TAATTAAACTCTCAAATGTCAAACACAAAGAGAAGACCCTGAAAGGACTAAGAAAAGGGAAACAACACATAAGAGAATTCCAATATGCCTGGCAGCAGACTTCTCAGCAGAAGCACTACAGGCCAGGAGAGAGTAGGATAATAGATTCAAGTGCTGAATTAAAAAAACTGTCAACCATGAATAAAGTATCCAGCATAGCTATCATTTAGAAATAAAGGAGAGATTGAAACATTCTCAGACAAACAAAAAGCAAAGGAATTCATTGTAATCAAACCAGCCTTACAAGAAACGCTAAATATTGTTCTCCAAACTGAAAGAAAATGGCAGCAATATGTAACACAAAAAATCTGAAGGTATAAACCCACAGGTAGAAGTGAGGATTCAGACAAATTTGGAATGCTCTAATATGGTAATAATTGGATGTAAAGCACTTATATATCCTTAGTAGGAAGGTTAAAAAACAATACAAATAAAATAATAATAATTACAATAATTTGTTAAGGAATAGCAATATACAAAGATGTAAATTAAGACATCAAAAATGCAAAATGTGAGGGAGTGATGGAGTTAAAGAGTAGAGTGGTTTCTTTTCCCCTCTTTTTGAATCAAAATTAAGTTGCTATCTCTTTAAAATAACTTATTGTAACCACAAAATGTTCTTTGCATGCCTTGTGGTAACCACAAAGCAAAAACTTTTAAAAGATACTCTAAAAATTAAAAAAAAAAAAAAACCGAAACACACTGATAGAGTAAAGCACTTAATCACAAAGGAAGATAGAGAAATCAATCAATCAAAGTACAAATTAAAAAAAACATGAAAACAAGTAATAATATGGCAGAACCAAGTCCTTGCCTATCAATAATTATCTTGTATGTAAATGGATTATCCCATTTAAGACATATAATGGCTACACTGATTAAAAACAAGACCTAACTATAAACTTTCTACAGGAAATTCACTTCATCTGTAAATACACACATAAATTGAAAGTGATCAGATGGAAAAATATATTTTATAAATATGGAAACCGAAAGAAAGCCAGTATAGATATATTTATATCAGATAACATATACTTCAAACAAAATCCTATAAAAACAGACAAATACAGCCATTATATAATGATAAAGGGATCAATATCACAAGATAATATAATTGTAAATATATATGCCCTCTATATTGAAGGACCTAAATATATAAAACAAATGTTAATAGATCTAACAGGAGAAACAGCAAGCAATAAAATAATAGTAACATTCTACTTTCAGCAATAAACAGATTATCAAGACATAAAATCAACAAAGAAACATCATATTTAAAGTGAACTCTAGACCAAATAACTTAGCAGTCATTTACAGAACATGTTATCCAACAATTGCATAATTCACAGTCTTCTCTACTGCGCATGGAACATTTTCCATGATAGATCATATACTAGGCACAAAATGAGCCTTAGCAAATTCAAAAAAAAATCAAAATTATATCACATCTTTTCTGACAATATAGAATAAAACTAGAAATAAACAACAAGAACTTCAGAAATTGTGCAAATACATACAAAATTAAACAACGTGCCCCTAAACAAACAATGGGTTAAAAAATAAATTTTGTTTCATTTTAAAAATTCTTAAGACAAATGAAAATGAAATCAGAACATATAAAAACTTACGAAATACAGCAGAAAAAGTCCTCAGAGGGAAGTTTGTAGAAATAAATTTCTATATGAAAGAAAGAAAACTCTCATTAATAATTTAAGAATGCATTTCAAGGAATTATAGAAACGTGAACAAACTTAGCCCCAAATTGGTAAAAGAATATAGATAATGAAGACCAGAGCACAAATAAACAAAATGGAGACAAAAATATGAAAGATCAATGAAATAAAAAGTTATTTTTTGAAAAGATAAACGCAATTGATATATCTTTAGTCAGATTAAGAAAAAAGAGAGAAGATTCACATAAATAAAATGAGAGATGAAAAAAGACATTAAAATGGTTACTACAGAAATACAAAGAATCATGAGAAAGTACTAAAATTATATGCCAATAAATTAGAAAACCTAGAAGAAATAAATACGTTTCTGAACACATATAACCTATCAAAATTGAAGAATTAAGAAATACAAAATGCGAACAGACCAATAACAAATAAAGAGATTGAAGCATTGTCTCTCAATACAAGAAAATCTGGAGGGCTGGCACAGTGTCTCACACATGTCATCTCACACTTTGGAGGCCAAGGCAGGAGGATTACTTGAAGCCAGAATTTCCAGATTAGCCTGGGGAACATAGTGAGACCCAGTCTTTACAAAAATAAAAATAAAAATTATCCAGGTTTAGTGGTGTGCACTTGCAGTCCTAACAACTTGGGAGGCTGAGGCAGGAGGATCACTTAAGACCAGGAATTTGAGGCTGCAGTGAGCTATGATTGCACCACTGTACTCCAGCCTGAGTGACAAAGAAAGACCATGTCTCTAAACCAAAAATATTTAAGAAGAAGAAGAAAAAGAAAGAAAGAAAGAAAGAAAGAAAGAAAGAGGAAGAAAAGAGAGACAGAGGGAGGGAGGGAGGGAGGAAGGAAGGAAGGGAGGGAAGGAGAAGAAAATAAAAATCGAGGATCCAATGCTTATACTGCTGAATTCTTCAAAACATTTAAAGAGGAACATATACTAATTATTTACAAACTGTTCCAAAAAAAGTGAAAAGGAGGAAACTCTTCCAAACTCATTCTATGAAGACAGAATTACCTTATTCCAAAATGCGACAAGAACAGTGAAAAACTAAACTACAGGCCAATATCAGTGATGAACATAAATGCAAAAATTCAAAACCAGCAATGCTAGCAATCATAATTTGAAAGCACATTAAAAAGATGATTCACCATAATCAGGCTGTATTTGTTCCAGGGAGGCAAGGAGGGCTTATGATATATAAATCAATAAATGTGATACACCACATTCGATAAGGTAAGATAAAAATCATATAATCATTTAAATAGATACAGAAAAAGCATTTGACAAAATTCAATGTTTTTTGTAAACATAAGATCTCTTAACAAATCAGTTATAAAAAGAGTATAACTCAATAAAATAAAGACCATATGTGATAACCCACAGCCAACATGATACTGAATAAGGAAAAATTGAAAACTGTGTCTCTAAGATCAAGAACAAGACAAGGATGTTCACTTTAATAACTTCTCTTCAACATAGCACTGGAAGTCCTAGCTAGAGCAATTAGAAAAGAGAAAGAAAAGACATCCAAATTGAAAAACAAAAAGAAAGTCAAATTGTCCCTGTTTGCAGATGACATAGATCATGTCATATGTATAAAAGACCCTATACTGAAAAACAGAAACAGTAAATGAATACAGTAAAGTTTTAGAATACAAAATCAGCATAGAAAAATCAGATGCATTTCTATACCCAACAGCATACTATCTGAAAAAGGAATCCCCATTGAAAATAGCTATAAAAAAAATGCCTGGCAAAATAAAGACGTCTAAAATGAAAACTATAAAACATTGATAAAAATCAATTGAAAAGATACAAGTAAAGACAAGGTTATCCCATTTTTTGAATTAGAAGTGTTAATACTGTTAAAATGACCATCATACTCAAATCAATCTATAGGTCCAATACAATCTCTAACCAATTTCCAATGTAATTCTTCACGTTCTGCGGATGTTAAAAAGATTTTTAAAACCGTTTTTTTGGTTCTGCAGGCGAAGGCTGTGGCCGCGCTCCCGCCGGCCAGTTCCCAGCAGCAGCTCATCGCCCCTGCTCCGCGCCTTCGCTCCAGGCCCGCACGGTCGCAGCCCCGCGAGAATCAGCACTGAGCCGGTCCCGCCGCCGCCGCCCCAGTGTCGGGCTGCTGCTGCGGGAAGCCAATCGCCCACCGCCTGGAGGAGGGCGACGAGGCCTTCCGCGCGAGCAAGTACCAGAAAGCGCCGGGCTCTTCCGCTCCATGCTGGCCCTGCTGGCGCAGCCCGACCGCGGCCGGTGCCTGAGGCTGGGGGACGCGCTGGCCCGCGCCGGCCGCCTCCCGGTGGCCCTGGGCGCGTTCCATGTAGCCGGGAGGTTGGAGGCGCTGAGTCCGGAGGAGCTGGGGGAGCTGGCGGGCGGCCTGGTGTGTCCCGGCCTGCGCGAACGGCCACTGTTGGCGGGGAAGCCTGGCGGCGAGCTCAGGGCTAGGGAGGGCCGGCCCTGGCGCCCGGCGCGCCCCGCGACCTGCTTGGCTGCCCACGGCTGCTGCACAAGCCTGTGACGCTGCCCTGCGGGCTCACGGTCTGTGAGCGCTAAGTGGAGCTGGGGCCCGCGCGGCCACAGGCGCGGGCGCGTGAACGTGGTGCTGAGCCGCCTGCTGGAGAGGTGCTTCCCGGCCGAGTGCCTGCTGCGCAGGCTGGAGGGTCAGGCGCGGATCCTGCAGCGCCAGCAGCAGCCCGAGGCCGCGCTGCTCAGGTGCGACCAGGCCCTGGAGCTGTGACTTGGCTGTGGGGCTGGCCCGCCTCCCTGGCCCCTGTCAAGCCGAGCGGCTGGAGCTAACCCGCGGGCCTGGGCTTTTGAGCGCTTTGTCCAGGCGTAGGGGGTCACTTTGCTTACTAATGATGGGAAGGTGAAAGGTGGGGGAGGCCACTCCCTGCAGTCAGGGTGGCAGGTGTCAGAGGCCACATGCAACCCACTGGTTTTGTCTTTTCTAGGATGCTGATAAGTTTCCCGCGGCCCCCGGAGCAGCTCTGTAAGGCCCTGTAGTTGCCTTTCATTCCCTTCTGCTCTATTGAGGAGTGGGAGGATGACAAAGTGTTTTTGCTCAACCCGAAGGAAAATGCACATGGGAGGACACACCGGGTTACTATTTGAGTAGCCCAGGCAAGAGACCAGCGGCTGCTTCAGCCATGAGACCACCTCAGGCCAAAATAGCCTTGTGGTTGTTTTACTTCTTTTCACCAAATGGGTCTTTTTGGGGTTTGTGGCATGTCCCATGTAATGATGATCTCTTGGTTCCCCTTTCTCATTCACACCCGGGAGCTGAGGTGGGGTGGGGGAGTGGGGGGGGGAAGGGGAGTGGCCACCTGCGCCAGGTATGAGAGAAGCCACACCTGAGACCAGCCCCTCTGTCCTCCTGCCTCTGCATGCAGCGTCCCTGCAGGAGGCAGAAGGGGTGAAAAGTAGCCTCGATGTGAAAGTCCTTGTGTGTCCCTGAGGGGGGAAGTAAGTCACAGTCGGGACACTGGTTCCTGTCACTGGGTGCAGCACAAAGAAGGACCCCAGGACATGCGGTGCAGACGGGAGCACAGAGAGGGTGAGTGCTACTGGGGTGCACAGGCAGCTTGAGGAGGATGGAGATGGCAAACTTCCCTTTGTCACACCAGGTCCACGTTCAGGGCCGGAGGACCACCAGATCCCCAAAGCCTCCGGTGCTTCCGAGGCAGAGGAGAGGCAAAGCCGGTGGCCCCCGGCGTCCAGGGACCTGGCAGCCACCACTGAGGCCCACCTGCTTGTCCCTCAGCCGGGTGCCCACTGGCAGCCACACTCCAGGTCTCTGGGCTCTGCCCAGGACGTGTGTTTGGGCTTCTCTCCCCAGCAGAAGTCATCAGCGTACCCTCTGCATCCCACGGATTTGCTTTGTTTCTGAGGGAATAATTAAGGAATGTTAGTATGATATCAGAAAATAGCTAATTATGGTGAAGAGCTAACAGGGCAATCTGGGAAGCTGTGGAGCTCTAGTTAGTGATGACAGAAGAGGAACATATTTGACTGTTTTGTGCTACACCCAGGTTCTCAGGAGGTGGCCAGGGAGGAGACTTGGCACTGTGCCATGCTCAGAGCCCCTAGTCCCAGGGACTGTTTCCCTGTGGGAGTTTGGATGAGAGGCAGTTGGCTGGGAAGCTCAGGATGGAGTGAGGAAGGAGAACGACTTGAGGTGCTTGGGTTGGAAAGATCTAGTACCCCAGGAGGGACTGGCTGTGGCCTGCACACACCCCAAACTCACACACTCTGTCATGCTCACACAGACACGCACACACACTCATGGACCCAAGCTCACACACCACACTCACATGGCTTATTCACACACTTACACACATTAACACACATATGCACTCATATTTACACATCCGCACACAGTTATATTCCACATACACACTCATACTGCCAAGTTCAAACACCACTATCACACATTTCTTCACAAACATTCACACAACTCACATACACACTCTCACACACGTACACACTCACCTACCCACTCTCCATTACACACATTTACCTGTCCGTTCTCACACACATGCACAAACACAAAGCCAAATTAGAGCCATTTTCCTGGTCCCACACAAACAAAAATGATACCTCAGTTTCTTGATCTTGACCAGAATTGGGCACATGATTCCATCCAACCACAAGGTGGGGCGGGAATGAAATCCTATCACGTCCTCAGGCCGTGGAGAAAAAAAACTATGTCAGGCCTCTCTAATGCCTCCCACAAATGGGCAGGAGGGATTGAAACAGAAAAGGGGTTCCTCCTGACATGTGGCATTGATGGAGCCCGGTTCTGCCTCATGCCAAGCCCTGCCTTGCCCCTCGATGATGGAAAATGGTTGTGTGTCTTGTTTCCTGGCCTCCATCTCTGTCTTGGTACAGAGTAGAGACTTGAGTCTCAGTTCCAAAGACAGGAGTCCCGCTGAGCTGACCCGCCCACTGACAGATGAAGTCTTGCCATCTGCTGACCAAGTTCCCCAAGGCCCCTTGAGACTCAACTTCTGAAGAGGGTCTGCTCAGAATTCCCCGTCCCCATGATCTGCCCGGCTGTCGGGACACTGGTGAGCCTGCTCAGTGGGGAGTCCCTTTTCAGCTCAGTCAGCAAGTGGCTCTTCTCTATAAAGAGGCAGGGGATGAACCTCCTCTCTAGTTTTAGCAGAAGAGGCCATGAGACCCATGGCAGAGGCCAGAGCTGTGCAGGCTGTAGGAGGTACCACGTCAGGGATTTCAAATGGAGGAAGGTACTTTCCAGAGAGTACTGCAGGGAACCAAGCCATATCCACCGTAGCTGCAATAAAAACTCTGAGGCTCAGCTTAAACTCAATCCTAGAAATGATGTCCCAGCACAAACTTTGCAGGATAAGCAAAATCTAGAGAAGAGAAAATGCAGACCCAGGCAACGATAAACACAAGTCATCGGGACCACCACGGAGCAGATACAGTGCCTTCTCCACGTGCGGTGAATGAGGTTCTCACGTCTGTTAGTGTGTGGAATTGAACATCAATATCAGAATCATTCTGTGTTACCTACAACTGGTTTTATGTTGTTATGCCTGTCTCCTGATGACTGTGTATCTTTAGCCAACCTTTTCACCCCAAAGCTCCTGCCCCAACCCCTCCTCCTGGAAGTGCCCATCTCTGGTCTCGGCAGGAGGCTGTTCTTCCCAGCCTGTGGGGTGGCCACCTTGCAGGCTGTAACCCTCTACAAGAAATAAAGTCTTCTCTCCTTTTCTAAATTTCGATATTTGCTTAATCCTTAGCTTCTATTTTTTCAAGCTTTTAAACTGCTTTTAGGTCATGGCCTCTTCTCTGTAGGGTCTGGAGGCTGAGAGATGTCCAGCAGGAAAGAACTGCTAACTAATTCCAGTAGCACTGCTCTTCTGCCTAACGGAGGTGTTTAAATGTTGATTTTGGCAAAATCTATGAGCAGGTTGCTCCCCCTCTCCCGAGATCTCTCACAATACTTTGTAAAACCCAATTTAGCGCATTGTCTGGGAGGGCAGCTTTTACTGGTTCTGCAGCGATCTTCCTTACTCATAATCTATTGAAATATTGTAAAGCGATGCAGATTTGTGGCATGTGAGGAGAGCATGTAGACACACACTCCGCTGTGATTCAAAGTGCCCTAACACCTTCCTCTCCCCTACAGGCTGTGATAGGAGGGTGCTCTGGGTCACTGAGGAAGGGGAGTCATAAAGGAGCAGAGGCCCCCCGTCGTGAGTGCCATCTCTCCTTGAGTGTGGCCTCTTGTTCTAGCCCACAGGCCCACCATGCCCTGACTAAATGCTCGCACTGCTCATACATCCACTTTTAAAAATTGAGTTGAACATGAGAACATGATCATTCATATTTTATCCATTTGCATGTATTCAATACCATCCTTTCCTCATCTCTGCTTTACCGCCTTTTCCTTTAAAGAATGAATGTTTCCATGTTTTATATCCACAGAATTTCTGGTCTTTCCCTTTGGAGCCCAAGGAGCAAGGGCAGAATGAGGAACATGATGTTCCTTACAGACAGTTACTCATGAGGCCACAGCACAGAAACTGCAAGAAATGTCAGTCATGAAGTGTCCCAGTGCATTTTAAATTGATGGTTATTAAAATCCTTCTTTATCTATAGGGGATCTAAAAAAATTAAACAACTCATAATTTAAACACAGTTGCCAGGTAACCTGAGTCAAAAATCAGGAGAGGCTCCGTGGTCTGAAGTCTCCTAGTGCTCACCTTGGTGACGTTCTAGTTGCCTAACGGGTTGGTGTAATGACGTCATTCAACACAAGCAAAACACAACTCCCTTGGAGTTGTTCAAAAAATCAGGAAATAGAAAAAAAAATAAGGGAGAATAAAATATTGACAGGAGAGAAAAATGAAGAGTTACTTGGAGATTTGAAGGAGGTGAAATGGGCAAAAAGTAAATTTAGCAATTAGAATTTAAAGTCAGTGGATAATTAAGTCGAATAATTTATTCTTATGTCCATGTATTTTGGTTTTAAAGTTTTGATTAATACTCACTCAACACTAATTTCTAACAAATTAGAATATTCCCATATTGACTATTTTTACCAGTGAGCTTGTAATAAAGATCCACCAGTAATTTTAGTACACCATAACCTTTCAAAAGAAGCCCATAGAATAAACTAATTTTTAAAGAGCCACATTTTATTCAATGTCTATTTATACATGTTACTAGCAATAAACTCTTTTATCTTTAATTTTGAGAAGCTTTGCAAATACAGAAAAGTAGAATGACTAATAGAGCCGGTAGCCAGGACTCAGATCGGAAAAATAGGTCTAATCGGTTGTTACACTGTGTTTATGTCATACATTTCACTTATTTTTATCAAATAAAAATTAGAATTTATAAAATGTCGATTAAAAGGAAAACATTCTGACTAAAGTTTAGTCCTGTGTTTCTTCCTCCAAATCTCTTTGTTCTACACTAACAAGTCAGGATAAGTATGGATGGGGAGGCTGGAAAAGGGGCATCCTTCCCCATGAGGTCCCCAGAGCCACCTTCTCCAAGCAGAACTTGGGGAACATCCTTCTCCATCCAGGACCTAGGGGGCATCTTTTCTCCATCCAGGACCTGAGGGGTGTCCTTCTCCACCCAGGACTTGGGAGGTGTCTTATCCACCCAGGACTTGAAGGGGATCCTATTCCATTCAGGAGTGGGGGAAATTCTTCTTCATCTGGACTTTGGAGGCATCCTTCTCCATTTAGGACTTGGGGGGCATCCTTCTCTATCCAGGACTGGGGTTTGTCCTTCTCCATATAGGACTTGGGGGGCATCCTTCTCCATCCAGGACTGGGGTTTGTCCTTCTCCATATAGGACTTGGGGGGCATCCTTCTCTATCCAGGACTGGGGGGTTATCCTTCTCCATTCAGGACTGGGTTTGTCCTTCTCCATGTAGAACTAGGGGGCATCCTTCTCCATTCAGGAATTGGGGAGCATCCTTCTCCATCCAGGACTTGGGGGACATCTTTTTCCATCCAGTAACTAGGGGGCATCCTTCTCCATCCAGGACTGAGGGGGGCATCCTTCTCCATCCAGGACTTGGACGACCATCTTTCTCTATCGAGGACTTGGGGGACCATCCTTCTCCATCCAGGACTCAGGGGACATCATTCTCCATCTAGTAACTAGGGGGCATCCTTCTCCATCAAGGACTAGGGGGCATCCTTTTCCATCCAGGACTGGGGGGCATCCTTCTCCATCCCAGAATTGGAGGGCATCTTTCTCTATCCAGTATTGGGGGTCATCCTCCTCCATCCAGGACCTAAGGGGTGTCCTTTTCTGCGCTTCCATGGATGGCAGCCTTGCCTGTGCAGTCATTCAGAAAGTCAGGCTGACACATGTTGTCGTCTTGAACTCTGGCATCTCATCTCTATTCTAGGTGAATGCCTTCATGTTTATAGTGATTTACCATTAAATCACTGTGCTGTTTTTCCCTAAAATATATGGGGCGTGTTTTTTGTTCTGACTTCTTTTAGTCCTTTGGTCCCTATCTCCGGGTTTTTGTAATTTCTTTTGCAACCTAATATGGGTCCCATTTGGTAAGTATTACATATACTAGAAAGTGATGTACATTCAGCATTTGTTGTGATTTAAAACCTTTTATAAACACATAACATCTTTGTCTATTTCCCATTTAAATTCAGAAGTATGAGTTCCAGTGTCCCTCTCTAGACCTGCTCTATCCTGTTAGTTTCTTTGTATGTCCTGGAGGTGAGGCCAGCATTGGACTTGACGTTGGTTCACCTACCCGGTTCTATGGTCCCTCCATGTGCAGTGTCAATCTTGTTGTTTATTATTTCTTCCTTAAATTTTATTTAAACTAAAATTAATTTTGTGATAGCAGCTTGCTTTCTGTGAATATTTACTTAAAATTTTTATAAAATATTTAATTTTTAATTTCTTTAATTTGAAAGTGCTGCTTAGTTATTGATAATTTTGTATTTTAATATATGAGGTTAATCCCTCTATGTTTGGTAGGAAAAAGTGATATATTTGAACTTATTTCTATCATTTGATTTTTGGATTTTGTATTTGCAAAGCTTTATCCTCAATTCTCTTTTCCTTTTTTCAGATTTCTTTTCTTTTCTTCTTTTTTTTGGGGGACAGAGTTTCGCTCCTGTTGCCAAGGCTGGAGTGCAATGGGGAGATCTTGGCTCACGACAACCTCTGCCTCTCGGGTTCAAGCAATTCTTCTACGACAGCCTCCAAGTAGCTGGGGTTACAGGCATGCACCACCATACCCAGCTAATTTTGTATTTTTAGTACAGACAGAGTTTCTCCATGTTGGTCAGGCTGGTCTCGAACTCCCAACCTCAGGTGATCCACCCATCTTGGCCTCCCAAAGTGCTGGGATTACAGGCATGAGCCACTGCGCCCGGACTTCCAGATTTATTTTCAATCAATGTTTCATTTTCCACTTCCTTCCTATGCTGGCTTGTAGGTTTTCCAGGCTATTTACCTTTATTTGGTGTCAAAAATTCTTTTGGGAACTTTTGAGTTGTCAACCAATAGTTGTAAGCATATTGGATATTGCTGTTTTTCTCCCAGTGCTCTGGTTATAATCTCTCCTATTAATACCTTGTAGTCTTATTGTTGTAGTTTTTTTTCTATTAATTTCTGAGATATAAGAATTAGAATTGTCAAATTGTGGATTTATGCATTTATCATTTTAATTCAATAACTTTTGCTTCATGTATTTTGTTATTTTTCTTAGGTGTATGCATGCTTATGCTTATTAGGTTTTCTAAGCAAATGGACTTATTAGTATAAAACATCCTTCTTTATCCCTGGTGAAGCTTGTCTTTCTTGTAGTCTGTCTTATCTGCCATTAATACACTGGCTGCAGTTTTTGATAACAAAGATTTGCATAGTGTATATTTGTCCATCTTTTCAGTTCAAATCTATTTATATCTTTATCTCATAAGTGTATTTCGTTTTAAAAGTGGTTATTGAGGTTTCCTTTTTACTTATTTTGACAGTCTCTGTTCCGCCTTCCTCATCTTCTTCTGGATTATGGTAGTTTTGGTTTGTTTGTTTGTTTTATGGGGTTTTCTTTTTGTTTTTTTTTAGTATGGATTTTGTACCTTGTTTTTTTTTTAACTATGACTCTTTGTTTCATTTATTTATTTTTGGTGAGTTGTTCAGAAATTAAAATATAAATACTTAATGTATATTAAATATCATAACACTGTATATAAAATATAAAAACCTTACCTTACCATCCTCTCATCTTTTGTGCCATGTTGTCATAGATTTTTCTTTTGTACATGTTGTAATTCCTGGAGGATGTCATTAAAACAGTAATTTCCCCTCCACATATTTACTATTTTTGGCACACTTTCATCTTTTCTGTGAAGTAGAATTTCCAACTGTTATTTTTCTTCATCCTGAACAAGTTTATTTATTGGGGTTTGGGTGTGATGGCAACACGGTCTCTCAGACTTTCTTTAACTGAAAATACTGGGTATATACCCAAAGGACTATAAATCATGCTGCTATAAAGACACATGCACACGTATGTTTATTGCGGCACTATTCACGATAGCAAAGACTTGGAACCAACAATGTCCAACAATGATAGACTGAATTAAGAAAATGTGGCACATATACACCATGGAATGCTATGCAGCCATAAAAAATGATGAGTTCATGTCCTTTGTAGGGACATGGATGAAATTGGAAATCATCATTCTCAGCAAACTATCGCAAGAACAAAAAATCAAACACCGCATATTCTCACTCATAGGTGGGAATTGAACAATGAGAACACATGGACACAGGAAGGGGAACATCACACTCTGGGGACTGTTGTGGGGTGGGGGGAGGGTGGAGGGTTAGCATTGGGAGATATACCTAATGCTAGATGACGGGTTAGTGGGTGCAGCGCACCAGCATGGCACATGTATACATATGTAACTAACCTGCACATTGTGCACATGTACCCTAAAACTTAAAGTATAATAATAATAAAAAAAAAAAGAAAATGTACTTTTCTCAACTTCAGTTCTGAAGGCTGCTTCAGCAGGTTCAGAATTCTAGGGACACTTTCGACTTAGAATAGCATGAAGTCTCTGCTTAGCAATGATCTGGGCACCATCGAACATATTACTATATCCAGCTGTGTCAAATCTGTCATCGGCCATAGAACGCTTTGACAGGTGCTTCTTGTTGCTTAAGTTCTAAGTATTTCATAGTCTTCAGAGACATGGAGAAGTAGCAGTGCTAGTAACAGTACCAGTAAAACCAGGTTAAGCCCTAAAATAATTAAGAAGCCATTGCATGCACACACGTGAACGTTTGACTTCAGCTACAATGCTTTCAAATGTACTATTTTAACTTTATACAAGGTCATAACACAAATTAAAATTTTAAAAATACTTTCACTTTACATATGTGAAAACTGCAGCTCAAAGAATTTAAAAGACGTGACTGAAATCCCATAACTAGGTAAAGATGGTCTAATCTGGAGCCCGCATGTCTTGGTCCCCCCACGCCCTGTTACAGAGAGTGCGAGGCTTCACCAGGAAGCTCTTTTGGCTCAAGGATTAGCTCTGGGGAGGTGCAGCAGGCAGGCCTGCTTTGCATCCTCTTTACAGCAGAAATCCAATGTTTGTTCATGTTTCTAGTTCTTTTTGTTTTGTTTTGTTTCTTACCAGCATGGCTCTGGGAGTTATTTACACAATTCAATTTTAAAAGAGACAGTCCCCATCATTAGGATTCCTTGGAAACTTATGCAAAAAATAAATAAATAAATACTGATAGATGAGCAACTTCTGCAAAATTGTGATATGTGTAATATATCTAATTGTAATGAAAGAAACATGTGTATCACAGTAATAATTTAATTTATTACTGTCATTTTCTTGCCAGATTTGAGGGCAATTTTTTTAAGCTCTCCACATGTGGTTTACTGTGGACCAAACACTGGCAGCTTCAGGCTTACAATCTGCTGACAAACCCTTCTCAGTTCCTTCATTTGAAAAATGTGAGCATGCACTGCTCATGTGCCTGGCAAGCACGTAACTCACTCAGGAGAAGGACAGTGGCCACTCAGGTCATCAGGTGAACTTGTGACGAGGCCATCAAGAGGCTGCACGTGAGCTCCAGAAAATGAAATTCCCACTATCAACCTATTCCCCATTTCCACCCAATGCCCCCGCCCCTGCTCCAAAGCAAAGTCTCCACCTCTTAGGAATGCTTGATTTTCAGTATTGCTGAACAGGGGTCAAAGAAAACAAACTGAACAAAGACACAAATGAAGCCTTTAACACAGGGAGCAAAGACACAGCACCTCCCCACTCCACAACAGCTCCAGAGCTGCACAGCTGCTGCCAGAGCCTGAGCACAGGCTGAGCTCTGGCCCGTGGATCTCACCAATGCCTTTCTTCCCTCTGTGTCAAAAAAAGTATCCATAAATGGGATTCATTTACTCGGGACATAAAATAATGTATACCTACAGTTTCGTCCCAGAACTGTGTAAACCGGCATGCTGTCTGCCACAATACAGTCCTCACCCTGCATCAGGAGCTCAGATGGGGGAAGCTGGCAGGGCTGGAAGCCTGTGAGTCACAGGTGCTTGGAGGAGACAGAAAAGCACCACAGAGAGCCAGGCCCTGCCTACAAGTCACATGTTTAGGGGTCTGGTTGTCTGGGCAGGCTGGGAGATGCTCTCTAAAGGAAACGCAAGAAATATTGCCCCACATCTCCCACCACCAAACAGAAAGTGCAGGTGGTCAGCCCCAGGGCTCACCTGCTCTTTGCCAGGGTCACGAGTCAGACCCAGGCTGCGCCCTCCACACAATCCTCAAGGGGACTTCCTGCCAGGCTGGGACAACTGCACGGGGCCCTGATGCCCTGGGAAGGACAGGGTTGCATTTAACAGAAACAGCTAAACCTGAAGGGATGAGCTTGCCTTTCCCCGGGGCCATGGGATGGTTTATAGAAAGTTCTACCCATCAGGACAAGACCTCACATGACACCATCAGAGGAACTGATTTCACACCACAGAGGGAGGAAGAGGGCACATGCCATAGGTCTGCTGGTCACAGCACACACACACTCCTGGGAGCTTCAGACCCAGCAGTGGTGGCTCAGGTGCCAGGTCAGGATGTGGGAGGACACAGTGTCTGGGTGAATCTGTCACCTTTGCTAGCTGCCTTGTCCCACCAGGTAGAAGATGTGGCAATGGGAGCACAGCAGTAGGAAGCCCAGTGTCCCCCAACCTTCCACCTCACAGCCAGGACCTCTGAGGGGCATCTATATCCTGCATATCTAGGCTCTGAAAAGCAGGAGGCCCTGGTTTCCACAGTTGTGGGGCTTCTAGCCAGGGCTGGGCCAGGTTCTCTGAAAAAACAAGCTCCGGGTGCTGCTTTGTCCTCAGGCTACTCCTCCATGGGACCTGCAGGCAGAAAAATGGGTACCACCTGGACCGTGGTGTTAGCAGAAGCAGGGCTGTGCTGCCTGGGGAAGGAGGGGCTCCACGCAAGTACCTCCCGGTACACAGCATTTGATGGCATGTGGACAAGTGCGGGAGCCCTAGACCAAGGACTCTGTGGTGAGCAAGGCTCAGGACCCCTTAGGGGTGAGGGCCTGGGTTACACCACCAGGGGGTCACCAGGACCCTCAGCAGAAGGTGGAGGGGGTGGCAATCATTACCTGTGCGACCCTGAGATGGGTGGCAGCCACAGAACCTAGGGTTCATTGAACCCACCTTTTGTAACTAGTGCCCAGGAAAAGGCCTAGAATTTAATAAAGACGAGGCCCCTGTCAGTGGAGTGCTGGATGGGGCGCACCCCCTGGGGTACACCTGAACCTCCCCCAGGGCCTTGGCTGTGAGCTTTGATTGTAGACATACTTATGCCACGGCCCCTTCAGACTGCTCCCTTCACCTCTGAAAAATCAGACAGGATGCTTCTGTTCCTGGAAACATGAATGCCCTTCATGTGTTTTTTACTTTGACTAGAAACTCATCTGCAACTGAAATATATGCAGAGAACTCATGTGCTCCCAAGGTTTCCAGGCATCTCTGAGAGTTTGCTTCTCAGTTCCCAGGTGTGACAGCTCCAAAGCAGGTGCTGCTGGTTTCTCATCTCAGTGTATTTTAGTTCCCTGTGGACAGCATGTTTCTAACCCCTTGCACACGCTTGGCTCAGATTTTTGAAAAAGCCAAGGGTGGGAGGCAGAATGATGTGGAATGGGCAGAAACTATGAGTAAAGGCTGGCCTCACCCCAGGAGGAGACAGAAGGCATTAGCCCAGTGACAGTGCCAGGGAACCCATGCGGCAGCCTAGGGAAGGTCAGGGAATGGAGCTGGGGTTTCGGCTGTCGCCATCCCAGGGTTAGACTCAGCCAGGTAAACGGCTGATTCTCCTTCATAGAACCCTTGGGCTGGCACAAAACATGTGATTCACAGCGAGAGAAAGACCACTCATGTCCACCCCCTGTAGCCTCCACACACCTGAGCCGGTACCTGACATATCCCAGAACAAGACTCCACAGCTATGCATCTGTTCTCTCCAGGGCATTTCATGATGAGAGAGGGATTTACTTAACATGATGAAAATAGAAGAGGAAATGACCTTGATGAGAACATAGTTCCACACCCGCCATCCAGGGCCTAGGAATAGTGCTCAGCCAGGGCCCGGCCCTTCTAGGGCTCTTGGAAGCTGCAGTGGAGGTGGTGTTGGGACAAGCAAGAGTGACCATTTGCAGGCAGTGTGGGCACCAGGCCATCTGCAGGGGAAAAGCCCAGTGGGAGGATGAGAGGACAGCAGAAACCTGGCAGGGGCTATGCACCCCCTCCCCGTGGGAAGGGGATACACTCCCAGGTGGAGCCACTGTTTACATTGAAATCACTCAAGTCCATCACCAGGAAACACAAAGAGGATTGTCTCACCAGAGATTAGTGACATGGGACTTAAACAAAATGCCAGTCAGCAAATGAGAGGATTCTTACTTCCACAGACCTCATGTCTACAGTTGCAGTAAGCAAGACTGAACTCAGCCATGCTCACCTGCAGACACTGAGATGCTTGCTAGGAGGCTGTGGGGTGGAATACAAGACACGAGGGCTGACAAGGATGGGAAGAGCATCCCTTTCCTTGCTGTGGGGGGCCTTGGCCAGTTCAAAAATAGATAACATGGGTCTCAGAGCTCCTGAGGCAAGAGCTACGTTGGCATTCAGAGATACTTGGATGATGGCATTGTCTTCAGTAGAACCTCGAAAAAGCACCAAGGACTCCCAGGCAACTTAGCTTAAATCTCTCTCGAGTAGAGCTGGTCTTTGGGATCTCCATCAAGTGAGTGATGCCTTTACCACCATGACAGCACATTATAAAGATGGCCTTGCTACCAGCAGGGACAGGCCTGATGATACTGATCCTGAGGAGGAATCTTATAAACCCATATAATTTAATTTTGGGTAGGCTCAAGCTCATCACTGAGATCATCCTTTGTATGACGATCCATGAGGCCACCGTGAAGAGCATGGATGCACCCAGGCCACAGAGGGGCCCTCTTCATCCTGGATGAGGAGCCCACAGTGGCCATTGCCCCTCAGTCAGAATAAAATCAAGACAAAAGCAATCAGAAGACCCATACACTATGAGGCTGAGCCATTTTTCAAAGATGTCAAAATAGGAAAATAATAAAATGGAAGAAAACCCAGAATTTAATCCCCTGACTTGCTCCAGAGGCCTCCCCAACTCCAGGCCACCAGAAGCGGGGACCCTGCAGAGGAACTCTCCCTGGGTAGAAATTCACTGGTTTTTGCCTTCCACCAGATGTTGACAACTTCAATTTCATCTTTTTTGACATCATAGCTAATGTTAAAAGGACTCAGATCAAAAAAAAGTGATGTGGCTGCAGCCCTGACAATGCTCCCAGTGAGAATTTGTGCAAAACTCTTCCCTCGACTTGCAAAACCGGGTCCAGGCAGGGTCTTAGGGCCGTGACGACTGCATCTCTGCCTCCTCTTCTCTGCAGTGCGGCCTCTTCACAGGCAGAGCATTCATTCCTCTTTAGCTTCTCACCAGCCCAGGATGCAGGGAAGAAGTAGCTTATCAGCACAGTCTTGGAATATTTTTACTTTACCAGCTGGGCTCCTATGAACAATGTGTCCAGCTATAGGTAAACAATGTGTGCAAATAATGTGAGAGTGACAGCACCGTGTCAGGACCATGCGAGAAGCTGGCCAGAGGCACTAGCAGCAGATGGGATGCCGATGGGGGTGACCAAAATACAATATGGGGCAGTTGCATGCCATGATCAATCCGCAGGGGTAGGGGAAACAATAACCCTGGGCCTGGCTAACATTTGCATGTGAGAACATTGACCCAAGTCCCCAGGAGAACGTTGAAGAGAACCGCGGCTTATTGTCAAAGGGAAAAGTAACCGCAGAGTTTTCTTTCTGCTTCTAAGCAGATGGGAGGGGTGTAGCCTGCAGAACCAAGGGTGTGGGGGCCCTAGAATGTTGGTGGTGGTTGTTCAGCAAAGGGCTTCGCTTCTCAGCCTGCAGAACTTCCCGCCTGTGAGTGTGGGTTACGTCTATACATACACAGGAAATCATATACTCCCACTCAGCCACCCACATCTAAACATGGTAGTATTAGGAAAAATAGGAAAGCAACATCCTACTAGATTACATTGTTTACAGTGAAACCATTTAAACCCCTGAGCCTCTGTGTCACCAATTAACACTGCGTGTAAGGAGAATGCCTGCCCCGTGGGGGTTTGTAAAGACAAAATGTAAAAATAAAATGTAGGCTGGGCGCGGTGGCTCAAGCCTGTAATCCCAGCACTTTAGGAGGCCGAGGAGCGTGGATCACGAGGTCAGGAGATCGAGACCATCCTGGCTAACTCGGTGAAACCCTGTCTCTACTAAAAAAAATAAACAAATAAATAATAAAATAAAATGTAGAGTGCTTGGTAAACTAAAGTTCTAAATAAATATTAGTTGTTCTATTACTATGTCAGAAGTACAAGTCACAAGACCAGAATACTTCACTTGAATAAGAACTCAGTGCAAAGAAGTTGGATAAATCGGTGAGTTTGAAACTGCAACAGGACTAAAACGATGCCAATTAATTTATTAATGTATTCATATTCATTAACTTATTTATATTCAAATGAATTAAATATTTCGTGCATGCTTGGAGCTGGGAACACACAGCCATCAGGGCCGCACGAACTCCGTCCTCACTGCGGTTGTTTTCAGATGACCTCAGAGGAAAATAAGAGGGAAACACTGGCAATTTCCTCCCGTTGATACCTTAGCTGACTGCATAGCTCATGTTAGGTCGGTCTTAATGAGGAAATCAGAATATTCGGGGCTTCAGTATTAAAACTACAAATCTCTATGGCAAGCATTCAGAGCTCTTTGGATTAGACATCAGTGGCTGCAGTAACGTTACCTGAGAAACCCGCACGCTTTCTGAACACTGGCATGAGTTTCCTTTCCTTTCGGGCCACCATATGTGGAAAAACACTTTCACCCATGACCCTAAGTGTCCCAAACTGCAGAAGAGGCAGATAGTAGCCAGCTAGTCCCTGTCAAAGGCCCATTGCCCTCTTCTGGGTCAGCCTGGTCCACCCAGCCTGAGGTGCTCTCTGAGACAGCCTAGCCACCACGCCACATGCCCCTCAGCCTAATCAGAGCATCAGGATGCTGTGCACAGCCATTAGCTGGGGTGACTCAGAATTATCTGCTGTAGAACAGGGCTCCAAGTGAAGGATGTGGTCACTCAGACCACGTAGATGGTTCAAGCTCTTACTCCTCTGTCAGCTCAGTGCCTGCACAGTGGAAAGGAAGTGCATCTATTGATTTCTTGGCCAAAAGAACAAGTTAATACATTTTTTAAAACTTTGACATTTTGTCTTAAAGCAACAGTGGGCCTTGTTTAACTAAAATCTCATCTCTTCAGCCTAATTTTGCTGGAAAGGCCCCCAACCAAGGCAAGCCCCTGGAGGAGAGAGAGCAGCTAGGATGCTGGCACCAGATGGCTTTGTTCCCCAGCCTTCAATATACTCAGTTACAAAATAACCACATCAGAGGTTTGATAAGATTATCCCCCAGGCCATTTTTCAGGTCTAAATGTTACCATATTTTACGAGAATACAGTATTTGAATCAACTCTCAGGGGACCCAGACTTCAGGAGACACTGAAGGAATACAGCCATTTTTCTAGCCTCAAAAGCATGGTTTGCAAACTGGCTTGTTCTTTGCAGGAGAAAACCACACACGTGGCCATTGACGCCCTTGGTTGGCAGAGTTGACGGGATTTTCTCTGGCTCTCACCTTGAGGGCATCATCAGCATCCTGAAGTCACTAGCGGGCCTCTGTGCAGATGTCCTTTCGAGGGGCTTCAGGCTGTGGAAGTGACCAGTGAACACAGGACCTGCCCGGACTCCCAGCCTCACAGCACAGCACCACAGCCTGGACTGCCCCCTGCCTGATACTTGCTTGGTTTGGAACTTTACTCCATCAAAGCATCCAAATAAAAATATGTAGACTCCCCACCCTATCCCATCTGCTATAGGGTTCTAATCCCCCCACAGACATCCCATCACAGTGCTTTCCCCCATGACGGGGGACTCCTGAGCTGGACTCCATCCCTCCCCTACCAGAAAAGCACAGGTGCTGTGGCATGAGTTCAACCGCCTGAAATTCCCTGATCTTCAGAGTAATAATTCTAAAATAGGGCAACAATATCCCTGTCAGTGTTCTTGGAAGAACTTCTCATTACTTGAGGCCCCAGAAATGCAAACACTCCTCCGTTTTTCCAGCGTGCTGTCAACCCTGGCATCAGAGCTCTTCCTGCCGTGGGCACTGGTAATTGACTTACTGGAGAAAGTCAAGCTTTTAAGTCCCAGGAATAAAGGGTTCCTATTTCCTTAAGCTGTGTTTATTTTTACGCTATTGCTGGTAGAGTCAATGTGTACTGAGTGAAGATGAGGCAAGAGTGTCAAAGAGTGATTTCCAATAAGATGAAAAGTGATCTGCAGTTTCTACTTCCTTAACCAGCAGGAAACGTTTCTCCTGTAGCATCGGACAGTGGAGACAGTGGCGCTCAGTGTGGGGCCTCCTGGCTGAAGGAGGGGACAACACGGTGTCCCATCTCCCTAGATGCTGTATGCACCTCACCTGGCTGGTGATTTACTTGACAGAAACCCATGTGTGGAGTAGGGAGTGCTGCCTTTGGCATCTACCCAGGTTCTGCTCTGGACTCTGCCTCTTAGCAAGGGTGACTTGTGAGCCCAAATCACCTGGTGGCTGTGAGCCACTCCACTCCAGCCTGGGCAACAGAGTGAGACCTTGTGTGAAAATAAAATAAAATATAAAAATAAAAATAAGCCGGGAATGGCGGCTCACAGCTGTAATCCCAGCACTTTGGGAAGCCGAGACGGGCGGATCACATGTGGTCGGGAGTTCGAGACTAGCCTGATCAACATGGAGAAACGCTGTCTCTACTAAAAATACAAAAAATTAACCGGGTGTTGTGGCTCATGCCTGTAATCCCAGCTACTCAGGAGGCTGAGGCAGGAGAGTCACTTGAACCCAGGAGGCAGGCGTTGCAGTGAGCCAAGTTCCTGCCATTGCACTCCAGCCTGGGCAACAAGAGCGAAACTCTGTCTCAAAAATAAAATAAAAGTCTTTAAGTCATTCATCAATTTTATGTGTTTACTATTTCTTCTCCCATTCCATAAAGCCTACAGTCATATAACACAAAGGGAAAATCAGGACAGCCACATATAAATAAAGGTGCAAAGTCGAGGCAAGAGTGGACCTTAGGGGCCAAGCAGGGGTCATTGCTGAGCTTCACATTTAGCCCTGGGCTTTCTGGAAGCCAGAGTGAAAAGAGAGACACAACCAGCTGCATAAGAGTTATCAAAAAGCAGGAAGCGCACTGGTTTTTCTGGTAGTAAAGCAAGGGCTTTCCAAGAATTTACCTCTAAAGTAATTTCTTTCATTCTTTCTTTTTTCTCGCTCTGACACCCAGTTGGAGTGCAGTGGCACAATCAGGGCTCACTACAACGTCTGCCTCCCAGGCTCAAGCCATCCTCCCACCTCAGCCTCTCAAATAGCTGGGACTACAGGCACGCACCACCATGCCTGGCCAGTTTTTTGGTATTTTTTGTAAAGGTGGGATTTCACCATGTTGCCTAGGCTGGTCTGGAACTCCTGAGCTCAAGCAATCCACCTGCCTTGGCCTCCTAAAGTGCTGGGATTTCCGGCATGAGACACTGTGCCCGGCCTAAAGTAATTTCTTACTTGAGATTTTATTTCAGGCCACTGTGTCATGCACTGGGCAGTACAGCCTGGTGAGTGAGAGTACAGTGGTTTTTTGTGTGTTTGTTTGTTTGTTTGTTTGTTGTCTGCTGGGTTTGGGTTTGAATTTTGTTTTAATACATGCAATTTATTCTGTGCTTCACTTTCTTCATCTGTAACATGGAGATAACGGCGTCTACCTATTAAAGTTGTGAAGATTCAATTAGATGAGTTGTATGAATAAATGTTAGCCTTTTTTTTTTTTTTTTTTTTTTGAGATGGAGTCTCGCTCTGTCACCCAGGCTGGAGTGCAGTGACGCAATCTTGGCTCATGGCAACCTCTGCCTCCCAGGTTCAAGCTATTCTCCTGCCTCAGCCTCCCAATTAGCTGCGATTACAGGCACCCGCCACCATGCACGGCTAATTTTTGCATTTTTAGTAGATCCGCGTTTTCACCATGCTGGCCAGGCTGGTCTCGAACACCTGACCTCAGGTGTTCCACCCGCCTCAGCCTCTCAAAGTGCTGGGATTACAGCCGTGAGCCACCGCGCCCAGCCAGCTATCAAGAAATTATACTGCCTACTACTTAGCCTGCACAGTTCTAGGTGCTGGGGAAATAGTGATGAACAAGACAAACAAGATCCTTATCTTCAAGTAGCTTTTACATTCTAAGTGGAGTGAAAAAACAATAAACATTGAAAATAAATTTCAGAAAGTGCTGTGGAAAAACTTTACAACAGATGCAGGAATAGATTTCATTTGACTAGCTCTCCCAGACAGTTTCCAGAAAAGTCAAGGGTAGAATGTTAAAAGGCAACTCAGAGGAGGTGAATCTGTTAGGGCCTGCGGTAATGCAATCCTGGTTTGTGGAATTCTGCAGGCTAATGTGGGTAGGTTACAATTTGCGGGGGAGGGGTTTATTTTGTTTGAAAATTCACTTCTTCCCGCTAAGCTTTTGATTAGGAGCTGAAGTTGAATCAGCTTGAAATTGTATTCTGGACCGGGTGCGGCGGTCCATGCCTTTAATCCCAGCGCTTTGGGAGGCCGAGGTGGGTGGATTGCTTGAGCCCAGGAGTTCGAGACCAGCCTGGACAAAATGGCAGAAACTCCGTGTCTACAAAAAATACAAAAATTGGCGGGGCATGATGTTCTGCGCCTGTAGTCCCAGCTACTCAGGAGGCTGAGGTGGGAGGATCACTTGAGCCCGGGAGGCGGAGTTTGCAGTGAGCTGAGATGTCACTGCATTCCAGCCTGGGCGACAGAAAAAAAAAAAAGAAATGAAAAAAAGAAATTGTATCCTGAATACATCTTCTAAAACACTACATTTACTTGCACTATATTAAACTGCTTTTATCCTGACCACAATTGCAGGTGAAAGATAACCACTGTTGTTCTATTTTTCTGGTAAGTAGAGTGAGCCATGTCTTGCCCAGGGAAAGACGCCTCCTAAAAATTTGTAGGACCACCTTTGGTTTTCTTCCAGATTTATTTTTGTCATCGCTTTTCCTGCGCCCAATTCCCATCTGTCTAGCCCTTCTGCCTCCGCTGGGCTTTTTCGCGAGCCTCTCCCCAAACGCTGGTATTCGTCTGGGCTGCAGCCCCGCCTATCTCCTGGGGCGTGACCACCTGTCCAGGCCCCGCCCCCGTCCACCAGGCGGAGACCCGCCCCCTTTCCCGGAGACCCGCCCCCTTTCCCGGACACCCGGTTCAGCGCCCGAGCCTGCGCGCGCGTCTCCGCTCGTCGCCCGGCTCGGCGTCGGGAGTGCACTCTGTGTGGCCGCTGCTGCAGTGTTGTTGTGGTTGTGAGAAGGCGGCGGCGGCGGCGGAGTAGCAGCCGGACCAGACGCCCTAGTAGCTCAGTCGCTGCCCTGCGCCGGGCCTGGCAGGGAGCCTGGTGAGATGGTGGAGGAGGAGGCTGTGCCGTGGCGGGCCTTGCCATGTCCTGCTGCCTGGTAAGAACCCCATCCCCGTCCCCTGTCTCCTCCCGGGGTGAGGAGGAGCTGGAGGAGGGGCCGGCCTCTATGGCCCCGGCCAGGCGGCTGTCACCCTCTGAGGAGGCAGCGCCCGGGGAGGGGCGTCCCGGGCGGCCGCCGCCGCCAGGGGGAGGCGCTGGGAGTGGGAGTGGGAACGGGACCTCAGCGGTCGAGCTCGGCCGGGACCCTAGGTGCGGGGGAGGCGGGGTCCCGGGCTCCGGCTGCCTGCCCAGACCTGGCGGGGATGGGCCCGTGCGGCTCCGGGTGTGGGACGTACCCTGGGAGCGCCCGGGTTATTCCCACTGACTCCCGGGAGGTGGGTGTGCGCCCTTCGCCCCCTGCCTGGTCTGTGGGGATCCATCGTTGCTGGAGACTGGAGGTCGGGGGCCATGGGAGCCCCGGGGCGAACGGTGCGGGCCTGGGTCTTGTGGAAAGGAGGAGCGACCGCCTGAGCGTGCAGCAGGACATCCTCCTGACCTGGTAATAGGTGGGAAGGATGGTTGGGGGCGGTTGGCGTAACTCAGGGAACACTGGTCAGACTGCTCCCCAAACGATTACAGTGTTATTTCTCCGGTAGAAATTTTCCTTGATGTATGGTATTTCCGGACCCATAAGATGATGTCAGTCGTATTTTGGGCTGGAAAAGTTATGTCAAAATTATGGGGTAGATTTTATGGCCACATTAATAGACTCCCCTGGAGTTTGATAATCTCACTTGTGAGTTTTGGACATGAACTACTATTACATATTGATGTTCAAATGTCGTTTCCAGACCGAGGCCTAAATTCTTACTGTTCTAGTATCTTGATATCCACTTTGTTTTCTGACATCTGTTTTTCCACAACCCAAACAAACAAAACAACACCCCCAAACCATATACTTTTGCAGTTGAGGTTCAACTTTCTCTTATGTGAATGGTAATGCCATGAGAGGCCTGGGTTGAATTACAGGAGATGATTTTTTTAAAATGTTAGATGTTTATGATTTGTCCGTGGAGAGGTGGTGGGGGACCATCCCCCTTCAGATTCAGGGCTGTTCAGTAGGACAGGAGACATTGATGGCATGCAGAAAGTCTTCCCTTTATAGGGCCTATGACTTGGGCAGGCTAGAAGAGTTTACAGAATGACACTTTTTTTTTTTTTTTTGAGACGTTATCTCGCTCTGCCGCCCAGGCCGGAGTGCAGTAGTGTGATGTCTGCTCACTGCAACCTCCGCCTCTCGGATTCTAGCAATACTCCCACCTTAGCCTCCCAAGTAGTTGGGATTGCAAGTGTGCGCCACCACGGCTGGCTAATTTTTGTATTTTCAGTAGAGACAGGGATTTCTCCGTGTTGGCTAGGCTGGTCTGGAACTCCTGACCTCAAGTGATCCACCTGCCTCGGCCTTCCAAAGTGTTGGGATTACAGGCGTGAGCCACCACCCCCAGCCAGAATGACACTGTTTTGAGTAACCCAGTATAGTATGTGATATTAAACTAAATTTGGAGGATTCTAGAATTCTAGATTGGCTGCCTATGACGACAGACCTCTTTTGGCTGCAATTACTCCCTCAGTTTCAGGTGACTCAGAGAACTTCAAGTGACCAGCACAGTGGTACAGCCCCACTTGTCGTTAATGGCCTGCCATAAAAGAACCCAAGTTTCTCAGCTCATAGGCCAGGTTCTTCAGTGGTTGTCTAGTTTAAGGCTGGTCATTAGCAATATTATGGACTACCTAAGTTCCTCGAACTTATGCAGGACCTAATGAATTAAAATCTCTGAGGATAGGGCCTGGGAATCCATCCTTACAAAGCTCCCTGATTGATTGTGGTCAGCAAGGCATGTGAACTTTTGCTTTAGGTTGGGTATTCCAAAGAATTCCCATTAATTATGGCTTCCCAGGGTGCTTTTGTTTATAGCTTTTTAAGAATTTAAGAAGTGGAGAAGGGGAAGCATGAGAAACTTAAAGGATGCAAATTGAGCATCTCTTAAAATATAATGGATTTGTGTAGGTGAAACAGATTTGCTGCCAAAAGTTAATTTGTGCACAAGTTATCAGGAACACACTTGATAAAATTAGATGCTGATTAATTGGAGATACATTGTATCCAGAGATACACAAGAATCCAGAGGAAATAAACAGAGAAGGAGAGGAAGTAAGTCAGCTTCTGGCTCATAAAGGGGTCCACTGAAGATGCTCCCTAACATGGTTGCTCCTAAACCATCTGACTCAGATTTCTAGTGGAGGGTAGGATGGGTGTGTTAGCAGTCATTTGAGATCAGGGTTGTGAACCAGGAAGGGTTACTACAGATTGTGAAAAGTTCTTGAAATTTACCGCAGGCCATGAGGAGTGGTAAAGTCAGTTTAAAAATCTGCTGTAGTTCTAGTTAACACGTTCACACCTTCTTTAGTGAAGTAGAATGCTGAGTTACCAAAGGACGTATTCACGTTTTAGAGGGGGTGTGGTGAAGGTTATTATAAGTTTGGAAGAGGTGGAAGAAAATGTTGTTATAGTTGTGTAGAGTAGTGAAGGACTTTGGCAAATATCCTGTCAAATCATGAAGTAGTATTTTTAGAGAGTTGCACCCAGCTGTCCATTAGAAGAGCCAGAGGCCTCGTCTGTTTTGTTCCCTGGTGTCGCCAATACCCAGCACAGTTATCAGCATATTCTATACCCTCAGATTTTTTTTTTTAGTAAGTGAATAGTATTGATATGGAAAAAAGAACAGTTATGGTGGTTTATAGCCATGTTAGTTATTAAAAGCTACTTGATAATTTGCAATGGATTAAAGAGCCAGTTTTTGATCAAGTAGGGCTCTGGATAGGAAAGAAAATAAAAAAAATAAAGAGCCAGCTTTCAGTGCTTGTTGTTTGGAATTTTTGAGATTCCTTTAAGAAATTGTTTTCTAAAGACTGTCGTGAACATTGTTGTGTCCCCTGGTTTTTGAGTCTTAATGTGTCTTAAGTGTTTTAGATGTTAGTGACTTTTTTAAGAGCACATTAAATGCAGAGGTAATATAGAATAATGGGAAGTTCTGGATTGACAGATAGACATATATTCTGATTCCATCTGTGTCATTAATTGCTGTTGGGAATGTCACTTAACTTCTCTGGGCATCAATTTTCTCATCTATACAATTAAGGGCCTATAGTCTTTGACCTCAAGTAGTTTCTCTAGCCTGATTCTGTAAATTTTTAATAAGTTCTAATTATGTTATTTGGTATTCATCTCATATAGGTAGACTAACCTTTGCCATTTAAAAGAAACAAGATTCTGTGTTGGGTTCTGCTTTTAGCTTATGGATTTTAGACATTGTCCAAAAGTGCTTCGGAAATTGAATGTATGTTGCAAGTATTATGTAGTAAGAACATGCTTATGCTGTTGTAATTCGCTTAGTGTTGAAATCAAATCAGGTTTTACATTGGGAACTTCATAATTTAGTGTGAAGCCACAAGACTTGAGAATGATTTGGGGGAGTATGTGCAATTTATATAGCTAGTTGTTTCTTACCACCCAATTCTGTAATTTTCTATGGTGAATATATACATAAATTTATAATCATGTAACATTGATTGAAGATATAAGATGATATCAGATTCATATTGGATTGAACTAGGACTGCCAGTAACTTTAGAGGCCTCCAAAATTATTAACATGTCATTGCTATATTTAATCTTAATTTTTTGGTATCATCAATATTGATATCATGCTTTCACCTTTGCTTTTGTATCTAGAAACAATATACTTTTTAAGTTCATACTTGTATCAGATATTAAAAATGAAAATTGTAGCATAAAAGTGGATAGATGAGTAAATCTTGGGTTCAAGCCTGCGTTGTATTCTTCATTAGCCGTGTTGTTTCTGGCAAGCCACGTAACCCCTCTGAGCTCCAATTCCTTCATTAGTGAAAGGAAGAAGAGCAGCTTCTCTACTTTTCTAACAGACTGCCAGGGGGAGAATGCAACGGAATAATGTGTTTGAAAAGTATTCAAAAAATGTAAGGGTCTGGTATTAGAATCCTATTATACTGGAATCCTGTTTTATTTCTTGGAAGAATTGGCTTGTGGAGCAGTAGTAAACCTGGTCCACATTGTCAAGTGCAGAATTTAGCAATATCACTGATAAGGCAACAGAAAAGGTTTCTGCTTCTGTAGTCTGGCTGGAGAAACCTTTCAGCAAATGTATCCTGTCTGCCAGTTGGAATAATCACAATGTTGCAGGGACTTCAGAGGAACCTGGGGTGTCTCACATTTATGCCAAGGTCTGTACTTAGAATAGACTTGCTAGATTTTACCCATTTTCTTATGTTGGAGTCGTGGGAGAAGGTGGTAGGAGCAAGGAGTTTAGCACACTCTGCATAAAGTTTTAAGGCTACATTTTTAAGTAGCAGGTGGCAGTGTCATAGGGTAATGAAATCAATGTACTTATTTTAAAAAGCATTTTAAAAAAGAATATATCAGTACATTGTGTAAAGTAAAAGTAAATATTGATTTGGGAAACTTTTCTTTCTTTTTAAAAGATATGTTTATGTATGTATACTTGGTTGCCGTGTAAAATGTATTTTTTCTTTTTAAAAATTATTATTTTCATTTTTTGTAGAGACAGGGTTTTGCTACATTGCCCAGGCTGGTCTTGAACTCCTGGGCTTGAGTAGTCCTGCCTTGGTCTCCCAAAGTGCTGGGATTATAGACATGAGCCACTGCACCTGGCCTAGAAAGTTATTTTTTCTTTTGGGTCGTGATAAAACTTGGTCGTAGTTGTTTAGGGACATAGTACTTGTGCAATGCCGATAGAAAGACTGTCTATAAAATAATAAGGCATGAAACAAATGAAAACAAAGAGAAAATTGTGAAGATGGGTTACCTTAAAGCTATTCTGTTAGCGGTGAAATACCTCATAGCTTTGTTCTAAATTGTTGAATTAATGAACAAAGCACATAAACTTATGCTATAATAATCTTCTTAAGTACTCTTTTCCCTTAAGATGGAGTGTGGAGTACTTGTTAACCACACAGGTATTGTCTTGATCTGATAACTATAGATATTCAGAATGATTCTGTTATGACAGATGGTAGCAAGCTTTTCTGATTTCACTTATCTGGGGTCTAAATCTAATTTCTTTAGTAGTTAATACATATATATATATTTTTTGAGACAGAGTCTTGCTCTGTCACCCAGACTGGAGTGCAATGGCATGATCTCGCCTCACTGCAACCTCCGCCTCCCAGGTTCAAGTGATTCTCCCTGCCTCAGCCTCCCGAAGTAGTTAATACTTTTGTAACTTAGTTGCAGAAGAGAGATAGAAATTTCTGAATAATTTTCAGAATTATTCATAGATTTATAATCTGGCAGAATATAAGGAAGTTATAAGTATATTGATAAATCATGACATAACTGGCAAGAATTGGTATAAAGACAAGATGGTTAACTTGAAACAGGGTTGTTGTTTATTATATGCCTATCATTTTTCCATGAGATAAACCAAATATTAGATTAAGTATTTAGACTGATCCACAAATGACATGGGAAGACAGAGTGTTTACAAAGAGTTTTAGAAGTGATACAGGACAATAATTTGGAGTTTTAACTTAATCTCATTTTAAATTTCAAAGTGAAATTATTTCTGATTATGAAAGCTACAGAACTTTTTTTTAGATGGAGTCTCATTGTGTCACCCAGGCTGGAGTGCAGTGGCGTTTTCTCAGCTCACTGCAACCTCTGCCTCCTGGGTTCCAGCAATTCTGCTGCCTCAGCCTCCCGAGTAGCTGGGATTACAG
This sequence comes from Homo sapiens, assembly GCF_000001405.40. Lineage (NCBI taxonomy): Eukaryota > Metazoa > Chordata > Mammalia > Primates > Hominidae > Homo > Homo sapiens. The sequence continues at coordinate 46,482 of NT_187382.1, read as the reverse complement.
GTACCCACCACCATACCTGGCTAATTTTTGTATTTTTAGTAGAGACAGGGTTTCACCATGTTGGCCAGGCTGGTTTCTAACTCCTGACCTCAGGTGATTCACCTGCCTTGGCCTCCTAAAGTGCTAGGATTACAGGCGTGAGCCAATGCATCTGGCCCAGAACAGTTTTAATGTTTTTCTTTTTTAAAAAAAGTAGAGATAACCTGTAATCCCATCTGGATGTGATGTTTGGTGTTTTCATTTTTTTTCTTATGCATACCTATTGAAATACCTTAAAAAAGAACAACTTTCCATGTAAAATTGATATTCCCTCAATGAGTAAATGAGTATTTAGTGTTCTATAATATGGATGCATCATAGTTTATAGCAGTTCTGTGTTGTTAATGGATATTGCCAATTTTTCTCTTAAAGTAGTACTGTGATGAACTTGTTTGGGCATTGAATTGTCCTATTATTTCCTTAGGATAATTTTTTTTTTTTTGAGACAGAGTCACTCTGTCACCCAGGCTGGAGTGCAGTGGTATGATCTTGGCTCACTGCAGCCTCTGCCTCCCAGGTTCAAGTGATTCTCCTGCCTCAGCCTCCTGAGTAGCTGGGAGTACAGCCGTGCACCGCCACGCCCAGCTAATTTTTTGCATTTTCAGTAGAGATGGGGTTTTACCATGTTGGCCAGGCTGGTCTCGATCTCCTGACCTCGTGATCCGGCCGTCTTGGCCTCCCAAAGTGCTAGAATTACAGGCCTGAGCCACCGCGCCTGGCCCAGGATAAATTCTTAAAAGCGGATTTATTAGCCAGGCATGGTGGCTCATGCCTGTAATCCCAGCACTTTGGGAGGCCAAGGCGGGTGGGTGGATCACCTGAGGTCAGCAGTTCAAGACCAGCCTGGCCAAAATGGTGAAACCCCATCTCTACTAAAATACAAAAATTAGTCTGGTGTGGTGGCGAGGGTCTATAATTCCAGCTACTTGGAAGGCTGATGCACAGAGAATCACTTGAACCCAGGAGGCGGAGGCTGCAGTGAGCCGAGATTAAGCTACTGCACTCCAGCCTGGGCGACAGAGTGAGACTCATTCTAAAAAAAAAAAAAAAAAAAAAAAAAAGGGCTTATTAGGTCAAAGGGTATGTGTGTTTTAAATGTGGATATACTCAAGATGCCCTTTAGATAGGATGTCTATTTGAAATTCCCGTCAACAGCATATTAGTATTCAATTCCATATATTCTTGCTAGTGATTTGTCATCTTTAGCTTGTTGGGAGTTCAAAATAGTTTGAAACAGTTTTTCTTCTGTTTCTTTTTCAGCATCAGGACTTACTTCCATAGCTTAACTCTTGGGAGGGAGCTGATAAAAATGAAAGTTCAGTGACAATGAGTCGTGTAGACCAGTGGTCTCCAAACTTTCGTTGCTTACCCCATCACCAAAAACTTTTGAGCATTAAGCAGGTGTGGTACGTGGTCCTGTGGTCCCAGCTACGTAGTTGGCTTAGGCAGGAGGATATTTGAGGTCAGGAGTTCAAGGCTAAAGTTCACTGTGATTGTGCTTATGAATACCGCCGCTGTACTCCAGCCTGGGCAACATAGTGAGACCCTGTCTCTTTAAAAAAAAAACAAAAAACTGATGGGATGGGAAGAATGAAGTCAGGAAAAAAAATTGATACAACTTCATGTTGTTGCTTTGAAAAAAGAGAAAAAGAAAAATATTGAGCATCAGTTCTTAATCCTTAGATATTTAATTTACAAGTAATAAACATATAGTAACTGATTATTGTGGACTTTAAAATACAAACAAAAAATTAACAAGGATGATAATTAAAAATAAAGTTCAAATATTTTCCTTTTTTACCCTGGGGCTTCTTGGGTACTCCTGGAGGTGTGTGTGTGTGCAGGCATGTGTATATGTGTGTGTGTGTATATGTATAATATATATGTATATATAATAATATATGATCTATATACATATTTTTGAGACAAGAGTCTTGCTCTGTTACCCAGACTGGTGTGCAGTGGTGTAATCTTGGCTCACTACAACCTCCGCCTCCTGGGTTCAAGTGATTCTTGTGCCTCAGCCACTTGAGCAGTTGGGATTACAGGTGTCTGCCACCATGCCTGGTTAATTTTTGTATTCTTTGGTAGAGATGGGTTTTCACCATGTTGGTCAGGCTGGTCTTGAACTCCTGGGCTCAAGTGATCCGCCAGCCTCAGCCTCCCAAAGTGCTGGGATTCCAGGTGTGAGCCACCATGCCCGATCTCCTGGAGGTATGTTATACTTGCTTTGGATACTACTGCTTTAGACCCTTGAGGTTTAATATTGGGCATTTATAGATGTTTGTTTTTGGGCATTTCACTAGTTTTGCAGGTGGTCCTGTTTAGTTGGATTATGAATGCCTTTAAAATGTCCCATGCTAGGCCGGGCATGGTGGCTCACGCCAGTAATCCCAGCACTTTGGGAGACCGAGGCGGGTGGATCATGAAGTCAGGAGATTGAGACCATCCTGGCTAACACGGTGAAACCCCATCTCTACAAAACTACAAAAAGCTAGCTGGGCGTGGTGGCACACGCCTGTAGTTCCAGCTACGCGGGAGGCTGAGGCAGGATAATCTCTTGAACCCAGGAGGTGGAGGTTGCAGTGAGCCGAGATTGCACCACGGCACTCCAACGTCTGTGACAGAGCGAGACTCCATCTCAAAAAAAAAAAAAAAAAGAAACTCCCCATGCTCTTTAGAGTCGTATCTGCAATAAGGGCAAAAATAAATTTAAAGCATCAGTTTGATACTTTTTTGCATCGTTGAGGTGGCTGAATTTGAAAAGGATAAATCGTAGGATAAAAAGCAATGTAAATAGTCTATTTCTTTTAGATACAAACAGTTGATACTGTGTAGAGCATATTTTTTAAAATTATGTTTTTTGGAAAGCAATTTGGCTATAATATATATCTCCCTGTTTTTTAAGAGGTTAGGTGTTAGAGACTGAGTGAAGGGAAGAATAATTGCTACTTGCTCTCCTTTGCTTTCAAAGTACCACAATTAACCTGTCACTAACTATTTGGATTAGCCTGAGCCTATAACAAACTTTCCATGGTGATTCTTAGATTAAAAGATAATTTTTTTCTTGAGTTTGAATAAGTTGCTTTTGATCTGTGGCTGCCTGCCCCCTAACCCCTATAAATTATGAAATCAGGAAATAAAGCTTTTTGTATTAGAAAAAAGTGAATCTTTTCTCCCCCATCATGGGAAAATTAATTTCAGTTACTTCATATGGGTCATTGGCAGAGAAAGATAATATCAAAATCTTAGAGACTGTCAAAAGAGATTATATTAAGCAACTTGAGTGATTATTTTTTGCCAGTTAAAAGAAATGAGGGGCCGGGCGCGGTGGCTCACACCTGCCATCCCAGCACTTTGGGAGGCCAAGGTGGGCGGATCACAAGGTCAGGAGATCGAGACCATCCTGGCTAACACAGTTGAAACCCCATCTCTACTAAAAATACAAAAAATTAGCCAGTCGTGGTGGTGGGTGCCTGTAGTCCCAGCTACTTAGGAGGCTGAGGCAGGAGAATGGCCTAAACCCCAGAGGCAGAGGTGGCAGTGAGCCGAGATCACGCCACTGCACTCCAGCCTGGGTGACAGAGCGAGTCTCCATCTCAAAAAATAAATAAATAAATAAAGATAATTTCTATTGAAGATGATTGCTATAAACAGTGCTTTGCACAAATGGCTACATATCTCTTTTTACTTTAGGTAACATGATTTATAAGCTACTTTCACATATATCTTCTTAGATCATCACAAGGATTTGAGATCATCATTTAATCAGGACTGTTGTGACTTGCTTGAGGCCACATGCCTAGTGTTTGACATCATACTTCAAGAGACAGATTGAAAGTTCTGCAGAAATAGGGACTGGTGGCTGTTCTCTCCCTTACTCCCTAGCAGTTAATACATTGCCTGGTACAGAGTAAGCTATCGATATTTGTGGACTAACTGTTTAAACTCCTGCATATTTATTTATACGTGTAAATAAGTTATAGCATTATAAAATCAACAGTTACGTTTTCCGTAGTTAGATTGTTCCTTCATCTTATGTGCACAGAAACTATTTTTGTGGAAGAGGTCATGAATTTTAGATCAACCTTTCACATATCCCTTTACTGTCTCTTAAGATACTTTCATGGTGACAAAAAACATACTCTTGTTCTAGATCCCTGAGGAATTACCACACTGACTTCCACAATGGTTGAACTAGTTTACAGTCCCACCACCAGTGTAAAAGTGTTCCTGTTTCTCCACATCCTCTCCAGCACCTGTTGTTTCCTGACTTTTTAATGATCGCCATTCTAACTGGTGTGAGATGGTATCTTATTGCGGTTTTGATTTGCATTTCTCTGATGGCCAGTGATGATGAGCATTTTCTCATGTGTCTTTTGGCTGCATAAATGTCTTCTTCTGAGAAGTGTCTGTCCATATCCTTCGCCCACTTTTTGATGGGGTTGTTTGTCTTTTTCTTGTAAATCTGTTTGAGTTCATTGTAGATTCTGGATATTAGCCCTTTGTCAGATGAGTAGATTGCAAAAATTTTCTCCCATTCTGTATGTTGCCTGTTCACTCTGATGGTAGTTTCTTTTGCTGTGCAGAAGCTCTTTAGTTTAATTAGATCCCATTTATTTGACCCAGCAATCCCATTACTGGGTATATACCCAAAGGATTATAAATCATGCTGCTATAAAGACACATGCACACGTATGTTTATTGCGGCACTATTCACAATAGCAAAGACTTGGAACCAATCCAAATGTCCAACAATGATAGACTGGATTAAGAAAATGTGGCACATATACACCATGGAATACTATGCAGCCATAAAAAATGATGAGTTCATGTCCTTTGTACGGACATGGATGAGGCCGGAAACCATCATTCTCAGCAAACTATCGCAAGGACAAAAACAAACACCGCATGTTCTCACTCATAGGTGGGAATTGAACAAAGAGAACACATGGACACAGGAAGGAGAACATCACACACACCAGGGCCTGTTGTGGGGTGGGGGGAGCGGGGAGGGATAGTATTAGGAGATATACCTAATGTTAAATGACGAGTTAATGGGTGCAGCACACCAACATGGCACATGTATACATATGTAACTAACCTGCACGTTGTGTACATGTACCCTAAAACTTAAAGTATAATAATTTTAAAAATACTCTTAATGTCATTCCTTTCACTGTGTGTGTAACTCCTGTGGCAAGACTGTATATTCGTATATATGTATGTATGTATTTGTTTATTTAGTAGGCTGCTATTTATAAAGGAAACATACTCATTAGTTGGTCTTTGCATACATAATGGTTCCCAAAACATGGACTCCATGGTTTGCTGTGAGTGAATGAAGAAAAAGCAGGCATGATTTCCCTCACCTTTGTCATTCTCTCCAGTTTCCTGTACATATGGTTGACTTACTCAGCAGTAAGTGTAACTTCTTTACACTGAAGAAAATTAGTCTTCCAAAGAATTAGTATGCTACTTCCCCCTTGTTCTGCAGTACTTAAAATCCTGTTTGGTAAATGAACTAATACACTTTGATATACAGAAGAGATCCTGGATTGCCATGAATGGAAATATTAGTAGTGATTAATTTCTGTCTCGGTGGGATAATGTGGCTTTTTTGCTTCTTATTCTTCTATAGTTTCCCATTTTTCTACAATGAGCATGTATTACTTTTATAAGTAGGAAAAATTGCTATTTTATTTTTATTTTTTAAGACAGAGTCTCACTCTGTCACCCAGGCTGGAGTGAAATGGTGCGATCTCAGCTCACTATAACCTCTGCCTCCCAAGTTCAAGCGATTCTCATGTCTCAACCTCCCAAGCAGATGAGACTACAGGCACAAGCTGGCCACAGCCAGCTAATTTTTGTATTTTTTAGTAGAGATGGGATTTCACCATGTTGGCCAGGCTGGTCTTGAACTCCTGACCTCAGGTGATCCGCCCATGGCCTTCCAAAGTGCTGGGATTACAGGTCTGAGCCACCACGCTCAGCCAAAAACTGCTATTTTAAAGTCTTTATTTTTCACTGGATGTCTTGTGAAGGTTTAGGTCACAGTCACCATTGAGAAAGTGGGTGGTTAACTGGCTCCAGTTCCTAAGACGAGTGGCAGCTGTAGGAAGTAGTATGGGAGGAATGGGGCAGGTAAGCTTATTTGAACTTTATCATTGTGAACTCTACTATGACTGAAGACATTGTGGGATTTGATCACAGTTAAACACAAGAGGACTGAGCCATCTAGTTTTTCTCTTTTTAATAAGCTGATTGAGAATTATGAAAGATACCTTAAGAAAAATTGGTTTCTATGAACTCTGTAAATGCAGAACTCAGCCTGAACTCCCAAGTTCTGTATCCGTGTATGTGTGTTTGTGTGCTTGTGTGTTGTGGTGTGTTTTAAATATCAAGTGGAGTTGTAGCAACTCAGGTAGGATATGGTTTATATTAATACATCTAATATGAATTGGAAGAGATTTAGGCAAATGATTTTTATTATGACAGTATAGGCTTATTGGAGATTTGGTGTTAATATACAGCTGGGAGTTAAGCCGTTCTACGTTTATATACCCATCTGGTGATATTTTAGGAAGAGCTGTGTCATATATTCTCTAGAGTTTAAGTGATTAGAGCTTGTTGGCTTTTGCTGTTTACTGCACACTTGTAGTGTTTTAAATGCTTCTGTGAATGGAGAACATCATTCAAAAAGGTGAGATTTCTGGGTTAAGACATTCGTTATTGTCTGCCCTTACTTTATTCTTTTAAAGAGTAAGATTAGGCTGAACGCCGTGGCTCATGTCTATAATCCCAGCACTTTGGGAGGCCAAGGTGGACAGATGAGATCAGGAGTTTGAGACCAGCGTGGCCAACATGGCAAAACCCCGTCTCTATTAAAAATACAAAAATTAGCCGGGCGTGGTGGTGGACGTCTGTAATCCCAGCTACTCAGGAGGCTGAGGCAGGAGAATCACTTGACCCCTGGAGGTGGAGGTTGCAGTGAGCCGAGATTTGTGCCACTGCCCTCCAGCCTGGGTGACAGAGGGATACTCTGTCTCAAAAAAAGAAAGTTGAAGAGCAGTTGAGGTAATAAATGTAGGTACTGTTAGGTTGGTACAAAATTAATGGTGGTTTTGGATTACGAATTTTAAATTATTATAACTAGGCCCAAACACATCTTTATCAAAATAGGAAACATTACAATCAACACATTTTTTGCCAATGAGAAATAAGTTTGTTTATTCCTGTAGCGTAAAAATCCATGCTTCGGGATTCGATGAACTCTTGGAAAGCATTTTCTGCATCCTGATGGTTGTGGAAGCATTTTCCCTGCAAAAAATTTTCTAGATGCTTGGAAAAGTGGTAGTCGGTTGGTGAGAGGTCAGTTCAATATGGTGGATGAGGCAAAACTTTGTAGCCCAATTCATTCAACTTTTGAAATGTTGGTTGTGCAACATGTTGTCGGGTGTTGTCGTGGAGAAGAACTGGACCCTTTCTGTGGACCAGTGCCAGCTGCAGGCCTCGCAGTTTTCGGTGCATCTCATCGATTTGCTGAGCATACTTCTCAGATGTATTGGTTTTACTATGATTCAGAAAGCTGTAGCGGATCAGACCAGGAGCAGACCACCAAACAGTGACCCTGACCTCTTTTTGATGAAAGTTTGGCTTCAGGAAGTGCTTTGGAGCATCTTCTCGGTCCAACCACTGAGCTGGTCATCACTGTTGTTGTATAAAATACACTTTTTGTCAAACGTCACAATCCAACTAAGAAATGGTTCGTCGTCGTTATGTAGAATAAGAGAAGACAACACTTCAAAACGACGATTTTTAAAATTTTTGGTCAGCTCATGAGGCACCCACTTATCAAGCTTTTTCACCTTTTGGCAGGGCGTGGTGGCTCACGCCTGTAATCCCAGTACTTTCGGAGGCTGAGGCGGGCAGATCACTTGAGGCCAGGAGTTCACGACCAGCCTGGCCAACATGGTGAAACCCCAGCTCTACTAAAAATACAAAAAGTAATCGGGTGTGGTGGTGGGTGCCTGTAATCCCAGCAACTAGGGAGGCTGAGGCACGAGAATCACTTTAACCCGGGAAGTAGAGGTTACAGTGAGCCCAGATGGTGCCACTGCATTCCAGCCTAGGTGATAGAGTGAGACTCCATCTCAAAAAAAAAAAAAAAAAAAAAAAAAAAAAGAAGCTTTTGCACCTTTCCAACTTGCTTAAATTGCCAAACAAGCGTAGAATGGTTGACATTGAGTTCTTCGGTAATTTCTCGTGTAGTTGTAAGAGGATCAGCTTCGATGATTGCTCTCAATTGGTCAGTGCCAACTTCTTCTGGCCGGCTACTACACTCCTCATCTTCAAGGCTCTCGTCTCCTTTGCAACACTTCTTGAACCACCATTGCACAGTTCCTGGGCCAAGTGTGTAGTTGATGTTGCGAGTTGTCTCCACTGCTTTGCGACCCATTTTGAACTCAAGAAAATCGCTTGAATTTGCTTTTTTTTATAATATAATTTCCACTGTCTAACAGAATAAAACAGCAAATAATATGTTATTAGCAAAAAAGGTGAGAAATGTGCATTAAAATGGTATATAAATAACCACATATATTTAAGAATGTATTCCAGTATCAAATAGCAAGTTTCAACAATACGAAAACTGCAACTACATTTGCACCAACCTAATATAATTTTTTTTTAGTTAGAAATTTTATAGTACAGAATAACAGGCTTATCACACACACACACACACATCCTGTACTGAATCTACAAAGCCTGTCTCTGAATTCCAAAATCTCGACTTTTTTAGAGCAAAGTTTAAATATTTCAAAAATTTAGAAAAATATGGAGAATAATTTAACAAACACCAGGTACTAATTCAGTAGATTTTTTTTCTTTTTTCCTTTCCTTTTTTTTTTTTTTTTTTGAGATGGAGTCTCGCTCTGTCGCTCAGGCTGGAGTGCACTGGTGCAATTTCAGCTCACTGCAACCTCTGCCTCCTGGGTTCAAGTGATTCTCCTGTCTCAGCCTCCTGAGTAGCTGGGATTACAGGCACACGCCACCACACCCAGCTAATTTTTGTATTTTTAGTAGAGACTGGGTTTCACCATGTTGGCCAGGATGGTCTCTTATCTCTTCACTTCGTGATCTGCCCACCTTGGCCTCCCAAAGTGTTGGTATTACAGGCGTGAGCCACCGCACCCAGCCCATTCAGTAGATTTCATAGATGCTGACATCTTATCAGATTTGCTTCAAAAGTGTATTTATATATGTTTTTATTTATTATTTTTGAGATGGGGTCTCACTCTGTTGCCCAGCCTGGTGTATAGTGGTAAAATCCCTGCTCACTGCAACCGCCACCTCCCAAGTTCAAGCAATTCTCGTGCCTTGGCCTTTTGAGTAGCTGGGATTATAGGAGCTTGTCACTACTCCCGGCTAATTTTTGTATTTTTAGTAGAGACGGGGTTTCACTATGTTGTCCAGGCTGGTCTCCAACCGACCTCAAGTGATCTGCCCGTCTTGGCCCCCTAAAATACTGGGATTACAGGGGTGAGCCACTGTGCCTGGCCTAAATTTGTTTTTAAAAATAAAATATGCATACGGTTGGAGTCCCTTTTGTCATCCTCTTAGATCCTATTTTCTTATGCAGAAGTTATTTATCTTTTTAGCTCATGCACTTATATTCTTCCTACAAATATCTACATATATTTAACATGTAGTACTATTGTGTTTCAAATTTATGTGATATTTTGGTACATACATTCTGTAATTGGAAAGTTACATTTATTTATGCTGATATATGTGTATTATTAGTAGTATTATTATTATGATTATTTTGAAACAGAGTCTTACTCTGTCACCCAGGTTGTAGAGCAGTGGCACAATCTTGGCTCACGGCAACCTCCATCTCCCAGTTTCAAGTGATTCTCGAGCCTCAGCCTCCCGAGTAGCTGGGATTACAAGTGTGAGCCACTGCACCTGCCTTACTTCATTAATTTTAATAGCTGTGTAGTATTCAGTCATATGAATGAATAGTATGCAATTTTAGTTCTTTATTGATAGTTGTTTTCAACAAATATACAAATGTAAAATTTTTCCTCAAATTGGGTCAAGCTATATATATTGTTCTAAATTAGCTCTGTTTCTCGCAATAATAATAGTGTGCAGGTTTGTTACATGGGTATATTGCATGAGGTTTGGGGTACAATTGATCCCATCACCCAGGTAGTAAGCATAGCACCCAGCACGTAGTTTTGTTTAAGTTTTTTGAGACAAGGTAGGTCTCTGTCCCCCAGGCTGGATTGCAATATTGCAATCACTGGTCACTGCAGTTTTGACCTCTTGGGCTCAGCCGATCCTCCCAGCTCAGCCTCCGGGGTAGCTGGGACTACAGTGGTGGGCCACCATACCCTGCTATTTTTTGTATTTTTTTGTAGAGACTGGGTTTCGCCCTGTTACCCAGGCTGGTCTCGAACTCCTGGACTCAAGCAATCCACCCACCTTGGCCTCCCAAAGTGCTGGGATTATAGGCGTGAGCTACTGTACCCAGCCGCCAGTAGGCAGTTTTGAGCTTTCGCCCCTTCCCATCCTCTCCTCTCTGTTAGTTCCCTGTATCTATTGTTCCCATGTTTATGTCCATGTTTACCCAATGTTTAGCTTAGGATGATGATCTCCAGCTGCATCATGTTGCTGCAAAGGATATGATTTTGTTCTTTTTTATGGCTGCAGTGAACCTTTGGGTAAAGAAAATTTACAAAAATATCTCACATCAGTGTTTTTTTAATCAAAGTAAGTAGTAGTAATCCATAGTTCAGATCTACTTTGTAAGTGAGACACAAATAAAGACAGTAGTTACATTACACATTTTATAACATTACCTTGATGTGGCAAATTTTTCTTGTTTTGTTTTTGTTTTACATGAGTTAATTTGGATGAAACTTTCTTGAATTACTTACTTTTATAGCATTTACCTCCAGTGGGGTTGAGATGAGGAGCCTTCAATCCAACAAAGTTGTATACATGCATTCATGGAGATGACACTTAGGTTATTTAATCAGGAAACACTCCTGCTTGTCCACATGTAGATGCTACACGTGGAGTTAGTCCTATTCTTTGGAAGTTTCACTATGTTGCCCACACTGGTCTTGAACTCCTGAGCTCCAGTGATCCTCCCACCTTGGCCTCCCAGAGTGCTGGGGTTATAGATGTGAGCCACTGTGCCCAGCCAGAAATGTGATTTTAATTCCATAATATATGTTACTGTGAATACAGTATATGTTTATTCCATAAGTAGCAAATTGACTCCTTTAACAGTTTTAGTAGTTTTCCAGTTGTTTTGTCTTTAGTTTCCCAGGCAAATAATGCTATTGTCTTCAATCACAGTATTAATTAGTTCATCCCATTCTTCATATTGATCATTTTTTTGGATATGAAATAATACAGACTACTGTAATAATAAAAAGATGGAAAGCCTCACCAATTTGCATGTCATCCTTGTGCAGGGACCACGCTAATGTTCTCTGTATTGTTCCAATTTTAGTATATTTGCTGCCGAAGCGAGCACTCCATTTCTGTAAAGCTTAAAAAACAGACAAAACTAACAGATGGGAATGGAATCAGAATAATGGTTATCTTTGGTGATGAGGACAAGGGAGATTGTAGGTGTGCTGGTAATGTTCTCTGTCTTGATCTGGGTCATGATTTCATGGATGTGTTCAGTTTATGAGAATCATTGAATAGTAGACTTAGGAAGTGTGCACTTCTTTGTACATGTATTATATACCTCAGTTAAAAACTTTTGCCTCTCACAAAATTTTAAAGAACATAATCTGCTTAGTTTGTCACCTTTTAGCTTTTAATGTAACTTTTCCACTACTTCTCTTCATATGTGAATACAAGTGTATGTATTCATATGTGAATACAAGTGAATACTAGTGTATTAGGTAATAAGCCACTTAACCTTTCTATTATGATATAAAACATACAGAAGAGTGCACAAATCAAATGTATAGCTTAATGAAATTTTTAAATTATTAAATTGGAGGTTTTTGGGGGTGCATTATACCCGTATCTTTGTTAGGAGGGAAGGAATTCATGGAGGGCTAAAAATTTTGGAGAGGACAAAGTTTTAAGGAGTCTCAATACCAAATCCTCATCTTGGCTCTGCCTTCAAGTTACTGTTTCTTTGGGTAAGTCATTTAACTTATTTATAGTTCACTTTTTTATATATAAGAGGTAAAATACTTAACCTTTCTTTTGCAAACTGAATTAGGTAGGTGCAATTCAGGTAAAATAATAGGAATATAGAGTAGTATTACTAGATAGGTCTTTATTTAGGCCATTGAATTTAGGCCACTTACCTTACAGGGCAGAATTGTGGTATGCAAAGACTACACAGCTGGTGATTATTGGTGTCATTCATTTATGTTAGGTTGGTATTGAGACTTAGTTAACTATGCCAGGCATTACCCTGTGATTTATTATAATACATGTATTAACTCATGTAATAGTCTAGGATTATTCCTAGAGGTAGGTAAAATTATCCCAATTTTACTGATGATACAATCGATGGAAAATTAGGTTAAATAACTTGCCTAGGTGGGTTGAGTTCTTGAGCCTGTGCTTTAAAAAAAAATTTTTTTTTGAGAAAGGGTCCCACTCTATCACCCAGAGTGGAGTGAGTGGCGTGATCTTGGCTCACTGCAGCCTCTGTCTCTAAGGCTCAAGCCATCCTCCTGCCTCATCCCCTGAAGTAGCTGGGACTACAGGTATGGGCCACGTTTTAATGTATTTTATAGAGACGGGGTTTTGCCACATTTCCCAGACTGGTCTCAAACTGCTGGACTCAAGCGATCTGCCTTGGCCTCCCAAAATGCTAGGATTACAGGTGTGAGCCACTGCATCCAGCCTAAGCCTGTGCTCTTTTTTTGTTATACTGCCTAGTTATGTGAAAATACTTAAAGACTTTTAGGCAAATGTTAAGATTTTATAATAATCTGTTAGAGAGTTTTTGAAGTAAAAATTTTGGTATTTTGAACCAAAATTAGGAGAAGAGTCTCATTGTTTTGACCATCATGATTCTGGAAAAGATGGATGTTAATATTTATTACTTGGGCTTTATTCCCTTCTTAACAAAGCTAATTTTCTCCTAAAATGACTTGGTTGCAAGCACTAGGTAGTTTTCTTTAAGAATATATGTATATTTTAATCTTAAAGGATTTTGTGACTAATTTACAAATATTGTTTAATTTTTAGGCAAAATGTTAATGGAAGGGAGTTTTCAAACTTGGAGGCAGATCAGACCAAGGTTTAGTGTTCTTGCCTCAGTGGTTTAAGCAGCATCTATTTGGTCTTAGTATAAGAGTAATAATTATGATTCTATCATATGTATGGTTGAAAATTATCTTTATTAAGGTGTATTTGAATATGGTTCTGTAAGACTGGGAAACACATCTAGTTGTGCAACCACCATGATGATCAAGATATAGAGTTAGTTTCTCAAAAAATTTCCTCATGCCCCTTTCCATAGTCAGCCCATTTCCTTACCTCTAGTCTCTGGCCACCACTGATCTGTTTTTTTCTCTGTCTTGTCTTTTTTTTTTTTTCTTTTCAGAATTCCGTGTAAACAAAATCACGCAGTATTTAGCCTTTTTGTTTTAATTTTTGTTTGTTTAATAGAAATGGGAGGCCTTGTTATATTGCCTATGCTGGCCTCAAGCTCCTGGTCTCAAGGGATCCCCCTGCTTGACTCAGTATGTGGCTTCTTGAGACGGACGTCTTTTATTTAACCTAATGTATTTTGAGATTCATCCATGTTTTTATGTATCAGTAATTACTTTCTGTTGCTTAGTAGCATTGCGTTGTATGGATATACAACAGGTTCTGTATTCATTCCCCAGTTCATTTGGGTTGTTTCCAGTTTTTGGTAATTACAAATAAAACTGCCATAAAAGCATTCATGCATACATACATACACACATGTGCCCTCGTATTTTCTTATGGTTTAAAAAGATATGGTGCCTAGAACTTTTATAACTTTACTACAGAACCTGAAAAAGCTGATGATTTTCACAGAACATTGTAAATTGCTTAGTAAACTTCATCCCCCAAAAAGCCCACTCTGGAATGAGAATAATCTGTTTGTATAAATAATCTTGTGGTATAAACTGTAAGTCATTAGAATTTTTTAAATTAAAGAAGTACATACACATATTTATTTAATGGGTAAATTTATATATAAAACTCCTTAGTGCATAGTTTTATATTTTATGTTTTTAGTAGCTTTTAAATCGTGAATTATTGACTTTTTTGTTCCTCTAAGTAGTAGAATGGTTATATAATTGGTTATGAAAGTTTTTGTTTTTTTTTTGACAGGGTCTGGCTATGTCGTCCAGGCTGGAGTGCAGTGGCGTGATCTCGGCTCACTGTAACCTCTGCCTTCTGGGCTTAAGCTATCCTCAACTTCAGCCTCCTGAGTAGGTGGGACTACAGGCATGTGCCACCACACCTGGCTAATTTTTGTAAACACGGGGTTTTATCTTGTTGCCCAGGCTGGTCTCAAACTCCTGAGCTCAAATGATCAGCCCACTTCAGTCTCCCAAAAGGCTGGGATTACAGGTGTGAGCCACCATGCCCACCCAAAAACTCTTATAAATTTGAGATGAAAAATACACGGAACATGATTAATAGCAGATTAAACATTGCCAAATACAAGACATAGCAATAAAAACTATCCAAAAGGAAATAGAGTAAAAGGATTTTAAGAAACTAAACTGTAGAACACCTTCAAGCAGCCAATAATACATGTAATTTGAGTCCTAGAAGGACTGAAAAGAGGAGGGACAGAAAAAATAATACAAAAAAATGGCCAAAATGTTTTCAAATTTGATATAAACTATAAATCTCTTATCCAAGAAACTCAGTAAAGCCCACCTATAAGAAATATGAAGAACTCCACAAAGGTTCATAGTAATCAAAGTATTGAACCCTAGTGATACAGACATAGAGGGATGGGACACACCATACATAAAGATTAACAAAGGATGCTGCCAGAGTTCTCATCACAGATACCAGAATCTGGGAGGATATAGAAAAAATATTTTAAATTCTAAAAGAGGACATACTGTTAACTCTGAATTCTGTAACCAGTGTAAATAACTTTCCAAAATGAAGGGGAAATAAAGATATATCCAGGCAGAAAAAAACTGTAAGAACGTATCACCAGCAGACCTGCTGCACAGGAAATAAAATAGGAACTCCTCAGGCAGAAGAAAGATGATATCAGATGGAAATATTGATCTGTAATAAAGGATGAAGAGCTCTGGAAAGTAACTGTATAGGAAGATGTATAAGACCCCTCCATTAAAAAATCTTGAAATAATAATTGAATTTTATACAGAAATAACAACAGTGTTTTGTGTAGTTTGTAATTTATGTGTAAGTGAAATGCAGGACAACAATAGCGAAAGGCCAGGAAAGGAAAAATGAAAGCATGTTACTGGAAGGTTCTTACACCACACATGAAGTAAGATAACATGTGAAAGTAGGCTGCAGTAACTTAGAGTTGTAAAGCAACCACTGAAATAACAAAACAAAAAGTTTTGTTATCATATAAGCCAACAAAGAAGATGAGATGGAATAACAACAACAACAACAAAATCCAAAACAGGGCACTAAACAGGAAAGGGGAGCAAAGAACAGATGGATTGAGTAAAAGATGAATAACAAGATCACAGGTGTAACATAACCATTTCAAAAATCTTGTTAAATGTTCTAAGCATCCCAATTAAAAGGAGAGATTGTCAGCTTTGATGAAAAAAATGAAGACCCAAGTACATGCTGCCTGTGAGAAAGACATTTTAAATGTAAAGATACAAACATATTAAAAGTAAAAGATTGAAAAAGAGTTACCATGAATCAAATGAAAGCTGGAGTGGCTATATTCATATCAGATAAAGTAGACATCAGATAAGAGAATATCAGGGATGAAGAATGTCGTTTTATAAGGAGAACAGGGTCCGCTTCTCAGGAGGACGTGATAATTCTAAGAATAACAAGCACTACGTATGTCATCACAGAGCTTCAACACAAACGAAACAAACACCAATAGAACTCAAAAGAGAAATAGTTGTCTATTTCTCCACAGTTATAGTTGGGGATTACAATACTCACTATCAATAATTAGTAGAACAAGTAGAAAAAAAATCAGTGAAGATACAGCAGACTTAAAAAAATAAAACTATCAAATAACTTGATTTTATTGATATTTATAAATCAGTCCACCTGACAGTCACATAATATAAACTCTTCTCAAGCAAACACAGAATATTTATCAAGATAGAATACATTCTGTGCCAGAAAGCAAGTCTCAGAATATTTGGAGTGATTTAAGTCCTATGAAGTATGTTCTTGGACCACATTGGAAATAAATTAGAAGTTAATAATAATAACTTTTCTGGAAAAACGTCAAGTATTAAGATGATAAATTACACATGTCTACATATTGCAAGGGCTAAAGAAGATTTCAAAAGAGAAACCAATGCATTTTCAGCTAAGTGAGAGTGAAAACAATATTTCAAAATGTGTGGAATGCTGATAAGGCAATATTTATGTGTAAAATTATGGGATTAAACACTATAGTAGAAAAGAGAATAGATTTTAGATTAATTAACTACCCCAGCTTCTGCCTTAATAATTGGAAAAACAAGAGCAAATTAAACACAAAAAACAATTTTGGAAATACTAGAGATCAGAGTGAACATCAATAAAACAAAAAAAAATAGAGAAAAATCTATGAAACCAAATATTTATAAACTTCCAGCAGGCTGATCATCAAAACAAAAAAGAGACAAATTCCTAATATCAGGTATGAAAGAAACTATATCAGCACAGATTTTGTAAAAATTAAAAATGGAGTAAGGGAATACTGTGTACAGCATTACCTAATAAATTTTGTAACTGAGATGAAATGAGAATTTTTTTGAAAGATACAAATTGCTATAGCTCACTCAAGAAGAATCAGATAATTGAATAACTCTATATTTATTGAAGTAATTGAATTTTAATTAAATGCTCATCCTACAAAGGAAACTCTAACCCCAGATTGCTTCTCTGAAGTTTTTTGTTCAAACCTCTAAGGAAGAAATATTACCAATTATACTTAAACTCTTTCAGAAAATTGAAGAGTAGGAACTAGTTACCAACTTATTTTATAAGGCTAGTATCACCTTGATACCAAAGCTAGACTAAGATATTACAAAAAAACTATAAACAAATATTCTTTTTGAATTTAGATATAAAAGTTCTTTACAAAATGTTAGCAAATCAGTTCCAACAATACATAAAAATTATATTGTACCGTGGACAAATATAATGTATCTCAGAAAGGTTGGTTGGTTGAACATCCTCAAATCAATCAATGTATTGCACCATATTAATAAATGATCATGTCAATAGATGCAGTAAATACATCTGATGAAGTCATATATTTACATTTGGAACATTTAGAAGGGAGCTTCCTCATCCTGATAAAAGGCATCTGTGAAAAATCCTACAGCTAACATCATTGTTAGTAACGAAACACTCAATGCTTTCTTGTTTGTCTTATCAGGAACAAGATGGGATGTTTGCTCTCACCACGCTTACATTTAACATTGTTGTGGAAATCCTAGCCAGACAAGAAGCTGAGATAGAATACGTCCAGGATAGAAAGAAAGAAGCAAAACTGCACACAGACAAAATGAACATCTATGTAGAAAATTCAATATAAAATACAAAAAAAGCTATTAGAACTAATAAATGCGTTTAGCAAGGTTGCAGGATACATGAACAATATACAAAAACCAATTGCATTTTATACTAGCAACAAATAACCAGAAATTGGAATTTTAAAAGCAATGCCATTTAAAGTAGCATCAAAATATATTAAACTCTTAGGAATAAATCTGACAAAAGATGTGCATGACCTGTACACTGAAAACTGTGGAATACTGAGAAACATTAAAGATAACCCAAATACATGGAGAGATACACTGTCTTCATGCCCTGGAAACCAATATTTAGAACATAAATGTTCCCCAAATTGATAGATAGTTTCAACACAATCCTAGTCAAAATTCTAGCAGGATTTTAATATTTTTTGGTAGATATTGACAAGCTGATTCTGAAATTCATAAGAAAATGCAAACGATCTAGAAGAGCCAAAATAACTGAAAAAAGAACAAATTTGATAAATTAACTTTACCTGATTTCAACAATAAAACTATAATATATATGATATGAAATTCAGAACTGTATATACAGATACAAAAATATTTTGTGTATATCCATCTCTATATCTATGTGTCTGTTTATACATTTGCTGATATATATTGCAGGATCCTCTATTCTGTTGCTTTAATATATACAGTATTTCCAACAAGCTGCAAAAGCTGTCAACAAATTGTGCTAGAACCTCAGATAACCATATGCAAAAAAATCAACTTTTATCTATATTTCTTAGCATATATGAGAGTTAATTCAAAATAGGTCATGTAACTAAATGTAAACCTAAAACTAGGAAGTGCCTAAAAGTAAACAATGAAGAAAATCTTTCTGATTTTGGATAAGGCAAACAATTCTTTGATACAACATCAAAGCACAATGTATAAAACTTTTAAAAATGTGATAAAAGTTTGGGGCCAGCCACGTTGATTCATGCCTGTAATCCCCACACTTTGGAAGGCAGAAGCAGGTGGATCACAAGGTCAAGAGATTGAGACCATCCTGACCAACATGGTGAAACCCCTTCTCTACTAAAAATACTAAAATTAGCTGGGCGTGCTGGCTATACGAGCTGGGACCTGTAGTCCCAGCTACTCGGGAGGCTGAGGCAGGAGAATCCCTCGAACCTGGGAGGCGGAGGTTGCAGTGAGCCGAGATCGCACCACTGCACTCCAGCCTGGCGACAGAGTGAGACTCTGTCTCAAAATAAAAATAAAAATAAAAAATTGATAAAATTAAAAATTTCTGTTATTTGAAATTTACTGCTAAGAGAAGTAAACAAGCCACAGATTTGGAGAAAATATTTGCAAATCAGATATGACAAAAAAACCTTGTATCCAGAATGTATGAAGAATTTTAAAAACTCAATAATAAGAAAATAAATAACCCAAATTTTATTTTTTTCAGATGGAGTCTTGCTCTGCTGCCTAGGCTGGTGTGGAATGGCACAATCTCGGCTCACTGTGACCTCAGCTTCCCAGATTCAAGCGATTCTCCCCCCTCAGCCTCCCAATCCCCCACCCCCACCCCTGCGAGTAGCTGGGATTACAGGCACCCGCCATCATGCCTGGCTAATTTTTGTATTTTTGTAGAGACGAGGTTTCACCATGTTGGCCAGGCTGGTCTTGAACTGACCTCAGGTGATCCACCCACCTTGGCCTCCCAAGTGGTGAAATAACAGGTGTGAGCCACCGCTCCCCAACTCAACCCAAATTTTTAAAATGGGCGGAGTATTTGAACAGGTTCCTCAACAAAGAAGATACATGTGGCAAATAAGCGCACAAATGAATGCTCCACACCACTAGTAATTAAGGGAATTCAATTACTACTTACTGGAGGCTAAGAGACCAGTTAGGGGGTTACGGGAGAAATTGTGAATTAAAATTATGTATGATAGTAGCGGTGGGGATGGAGAGGAGAGGATATGAGGAATATTGAGGAGATAAAATTGCAAAAGCTTCACACTTGGTTGGAAGTGGAAGCTGACATGTAAGAGAATCAGCAATGATTCTCAGGTTTCCAACTTGAGCAAAGGGGCGGAGGCCACTGATAGACTCTGAGGTCATAAAACACAAGGTGGAGCAGATCTAGGCGGGTATGGAGGAAGAGATGTGACCATTGAAGTATTTTCTTTGTTGTTGTGTTGTTGGAATATTTCAAGTCAAATCCCTGACATCATGTTGTTCCATCTCTACACATTTGAACATGTATCACTAAAAGTAGGGACACTTTCTCCCATAATCACATTGCTGTGATCGCTCCTGAAGATGTACTCAATGATTCTGATTATCATCCCATACATAGTCCACAGTCATACATACTTGATTATCACAAGTATTTCTCTTTTTGCAGTCTGTCTATTGGAATCAGAATCCTGACAAGGTCCACCCTGCACACCACTTTCTCACAAAGGTCCTCTCATCCTGAGCAGTCCTCCCTGCCACTGATTTGTTGTCCTTCATAATGTCCCACAATCTGCACCTGTCTTTGTTCTCCCTCATGATACTGCTTCACTTCTATGCCCTGAATTTCCTATAATGGGGAAGGAGCTCTAAAGCCTGGTTGTAGGAACACTTCATGAACAGTACTGTGCATGGCACACAATCTCTAGCCATCCCACTTGTCACGCTAAAATCGATGACTCGCTTCTGGTAGTGTCAGCCTGACTCTTTGGACATGCTGAGTAAGCAGAGCGAGAAAGGAAGAGGGCTTCGACCAGAGGAAGAGGAGCAGAGAAAACAGGGAAGGAGAATTCAGGGAAGTGGGGAAAATCGAGGGAGCAGCAGCGTGGGGACTGAAGAAAGAAGGGTCAGGTGTCGCTGGGCAGCCAAGAAGAGACAAACAGGTCAGATGGTTTTCACAACTGATGGCTGATAACTTGTATGAGAGCAGCTTTAATGGAGTGATTAAGGTGTAAGTCAGATTGCCCTGTGATGGAGGTGTGAATAGGGGTGGGAAGTGGAGGGCAAGGAATATCAATAACAATTTCAGGAATTTGGCTGTAAGACAAGGGAAAAAGATGGGAGACGTGAGCATAGGAAGAGGGATGTTGAAAAAAGAGGTTGTGTTTATTCTGTGGCTCTTTTGATGGGAGACACATTCATGCTGGGAGGTTGAATATTTAGGAACCATAAGGAACTATTACTAACAAAGAAAGTTCCAAAAACATTCCTGGTTGGAAGGTTTCACTGTTTTGTTCACTAATTTCATATATTTTTCTAACTCTCTACAATTGCTTTTTGTTGTGAGCTCAACTGGTCTAGGAGACACAGATTTTGAAACGTGATGAAATTATTCAATAAAGCTGGTGTTAGATGCAGGTGTTAGAATGCATTTTTGTCAGACTTGGACCATATGAATTGAAGTTACTCTATCATCTGACTGATGGGCATCACTTGTTTTTGTCTATTTATTTGAACTGTATATATTCCAAAAATTTTTTGATGTAGCTGCTATATGATAAGAATATTGTAATGGGATTCTCCTGGGTTTCTAATCCAAAGTTTGTTTTTTTTAGAAAAATAAATTTGGACTTAGCAGATAAAAATCATGAATACTATATAACGCCATTTGTTAGACATTTTTGAAATGATAAAATTTTAGAAATGGAGGTTACTGATTGCCAGGGGTTAGGAAAGCGGAAGGAGGTGTGAGGGAGGGGGAGTGATTATAAAAGGGCTCTTGAGGGACCCACTGTGGTGCTGGAGCCATTCAGTATATTGACTAGTGGTGGATACATGAATTCACACAGGTGGTAGAATTATACAGACATTAATACACACACAGTGAAAGTAAAACTAGGAAAATCTGCCTAAGGTAAGTAGATGGAGTTACTGTCAATGTCCTTGTTTTGCAAAACATCACCATTGTGAGATCCTATTGAGAATCTGAAACACAGCCTTGGTTATATGCTTTTTTCTTTTTTTACCCTGTAAAAATGTTCCTTTTACCCTGTAAAGTGTTCCTTTTTATACTGGTAAGTATAAAAGGAACAAATTATACTGGTAAGTAAAAATTACTGATAAAGTAACTTTAAACTGAATATGGGAAATAACTGCTGTGCTGTATGGTATAAATAAATAATATATTTATCTATAACAATACTACTTTATATAATGGAACTAGATGTCACAAATGGCTCTAGTACTAGTAATGCAATTAATCAATATAATGTTTTGTAGGGTTTTGTTTTTTATACTCTTTGTTAAGCCTCCAAACTAGCAAGTACCCATTACAGTAAATGTACAATGGATTATTTCTGTTTCCGCGTTTCAGTCATTAACTCATTAGTTGCATAATCTTAAGGTCAAATTACCTTGTTGAAGGGGACAGTCTGGATCCATTCCGTGGAGCTCACATCAAAAACGTCTGCTGCATTTTCACTGTGCACTGAGAGGCACGGGGCATTGTAACCTGGGAGGAGCAAAGACGGTAACAGCAAACATGGGCTCCGTGATACCTTTTTCAGTGAATTTTTGATGAGATAATTATAGATTCACATGTAGTTGTAAAAATAATACAGAGAGATCCCTTGTACACTCTGCCCAGATTCAATTCACAACAAAATAAAACTTCAGTGTCTGGATTACAAATAATTTAAAACATAGCTAAAAATGTAAAAGTAAAAACCTGCCGTTTTGCTAAGACCAGACCATCAAATATTTAAGAGCATTTAACTTCCAGGACTTGTGGAGTATGCATGACATGAGCCACCAAAAAGAAGTTTTTAAAGGAAGAGTTAAAATAAGTGAAATTTTTTTCTACCTTCATCAGTATAAGCAGTGGAAAACACTTTTGAAAGGGCTGTCCCACCACATAAAACGTTACATTTGTGCTTTTCCAGCATTCTTTTTTTTGTTTGGTTGTATGTTTTTATTTTTTATTATACTTTAAGTTTTAGGGTACATGTGCACAACGTGCAGGTTTGTTACATGTGTATACATGTGCCATGTTGGTGTGCTCCACCCATTAACTCATCATTTAACATTAGGCATATCTCCTAATGCTATCCCTCCCCCCTCCCCCCACCCCACAACAGGCCCCAGTGTGTGATGTTCCCCTTCCTGGGTCCATGTGTTCTCATTGTTCAGTTCCCACCTATGAGTGAGAACATGTGGTGTTTGGTTTTTTTGTCCTTTCGATAGTTTGCTGAGAATGATGGTTTCCAGCTTCATCCATGTCCCTGCAAGGGACATGAACTCATCATTTTTTATGGCTGCATAGTATTCCATGGTGTATATGTGCCACATTTTCTTAATCCAGTTTATCATTGTTGGACATTTGGGTTAGTTCCAAGTCTTTGCTACTGTGAATAGTGCCGCAATAAACATACGTGTGCATGTGTCTTTATAGCAGCATGATTTATAATCCTTTGGGTACATACCCAGCAATGGGATGGCTGGGTCAAATGGTATTTCTAGTTCTAGATCCCTGAGGAATCGCCACACTGACTTCCACAATGGTTGAACTAGTTTACAGTCCCACCAACAGTGTAAAAGTGTTCCTATTTCTCCACATCCTCTCTAGTACTTGTTGTTTCCTGACTTTTTAATGATCACCATTCTAACTGGTGTGAGATGGTATCTCATTGCGGTTTTGATTTGCATTTCTCTGATGGCCAGTGATGATGAGCATTTTTTCATGTGTCTTTTGGCTGCATAAATGTCTTCTTTTGAGAAGTGTCTGTTCATGTCCTTCACCCACTTTTTGATGGGGTTGTTTTTTTCTTGTAAATTTGTTTGAGTTCATTATAGATTCTGGGTATTAGCCCTTTGTCAGATGAGTAGATTGCAAAAATTTTTCTCATTCTGTATGTTGCCTGTTCACTCTGATGGTAGTTTCTTTTGCTGTGCAGAAGCTCTTTAGTTTAATTAGATCCCATTTGTCAATTTTGGCTTTTGTTGCCATTGCTTTTGGTGTTTTAGACATGCAGCCCTTGCCCATGCCTATGTCCTGAATGGTATTGCCTAGGTTTTCTTCTAGGGTTTTTATGGTTTTAGGTCTAACATGTAAGTCTTTAATCCATCTTGAATTAATTTTTGTATAAGGTGTAAGGAAGGGGTCCAGTTTCAGCTTTCTACATATGGCTAGCCAGTTTTCCCAGCACCATTTATTAAATCGGGAATCCTTTCCTCATTTCTTGTTTTTGTCAGGTTTGTCAAAGATCAGATGGTTATAGATGTGTGGTATTATTTCTGAGGGCTCTGTTCTGTTCCATTGGTCTATATCTCTGTTTTGGTACCAGGCGCCTCCGCAACCTCCCAGGAGCTCTGACCAAGGCGCCTCACTGGGGTGGGGAACTTGCCTCACCTGGGGCCATTTCATAATTCTGAATCATGTGTGATAACGGAGAACTGGAAGACAAGCCTCCAGCACCTCCCGTGCGAATGAGCGGGACCATCTTTAGCACTGGAGGCAAAGACCCTTTGTCAGCCAATCACAGTTTGAAACCTTTGCCTTCTGTTCCAGAGGAGAAAAAGCCCAGGCATAAAATCATCTCCATATTCTCAGGCACAGAGAAAGGAAGTAAAAAGAAAGAAAAGGAACGGCCAGAAATTTCTCCTCCATCTGATTTTGAACACACCATCCATGTTGGCTTTGATGCTGTTACTGGAGAATTCACTGGCATGCCAGAACACTGGGCTCGATTACTACAGACCTCAAATATCACCAAACTAGAGCAAAAGAAGAATCCTCAGGCTGTGCTGGATGTCTACGACTCCAACACAGTGAAGCAGAAGTATCTGAGTTTTACTCCTCCTGAGAAAGATGGCTTCCCTTCTGGAACACCAGCACTGAATGCCGAGGGAACAGAAGCACCTGCAGTAGTGACAGAGGAGGAGGACGATGATGAAGAGACTGCCCCTCCCGTTATTGCCCCACCACCGGATCATATGAAATCAATTTACACACGGTCTGTAATTGACCCTGTTCCTGCACCAGTTGGTGATTCAAATGTTGATGGTGGTGCCAAGTCTTTAGACAAACAGAAAAAGAAGACTAAGATGACAGATGAAGAGATTATGGAGAAACTAAGAACTATTGTGAGCATAGGTGACCCTAAGAAAAAAATATACAAGATATGAAAAAATTGGACAAGGGGCTTCTGGTACAGTTTTCACTGCTACTGACGTTGCACTGGGACAGAAGGTTGCTATCAAACAAATTAATTTACAGAAACAGCCAAAGAAGGACTTGATCATTAATGAGATTCTGGTAATGAAAGAATTAAAAAATCCCAACATAGTTAACTTCTTGGACAGTTACCTGGTAGGAGATGAATTGTTTGTGGTCGTGGAATACCTTGCTAGGGGGTCACTCACTGATGTGGTAACAGAAACCTGCATGGATGAAGCACAGATTGCCGCTGTATGCAGAGAGAGTTTACAGGCATTGGAGTTTTTACATGCTAATCAAGTGATCCACAGAGACATCAAAAGTGACAGTGTACTTTTGGGAATGGAAGGATCGGTTAAGCTCACTGACTTTGGTTTCTGTGCCCAGATCACCCCTGAGCAGAGCAAACGCAGTACCGTGGTCAGAACGCCATACTGGATGGCACCAGAAGTGGTTACACGGAAGGCTTATGGCCCTAAAGTCAATGTATGGTCTCTGGGTATCATGGCTACTGAGATGGTAGAAGGAGAGCCTCCATACCTCAATGAAAATCCCTTGAGGGCCTTGTGCCTAATAGCAACTAATGGAATCCCAGAACTTCAGAATCCAGAGACACTTTCCCCAATATTTCGGGATTTCTTAAATCGATGTTTGGAAACAGATGTGGAAAAAAGGGGTTCAGCCAAAGAATTATTACAGCATCTTTTCCTGAAACTAGCCAAACTGTTATCTAGCTTGACACCACTGATCATGGCAGCTAAAGAAGCAATGAAGAGTAACCGTTAACATCACTGCTGTGGCCTCATATTCTTTTTTCCATTTTCTACAAGAAGCCTTTTAGTATATGAAAATTATTACTCTTTTGGGGGTTTAAAGAAATGGTCTGCATAACCTGAATGAAAGAAGCAAATGACTATTCTCTGAAGACAACCAAGAGAAAATTGCAAAAAGAAAAGTATGACTTTTATATGAACCCCTTCTTTAGGGTCCAAAAGGAATTGTGGACTGAATCACTAGCCTTAGGTCTTTCAGCAAACCGCCTATCAGGGCCATTTATCATATGTGAGATTTGCATTTTACTTTGCTGACTTTGTTGTAATAGATCCCATTCATTGTCCCCTTTGGGGTATTTCCAATACTTGAATGGCAGATTGGAGTTTTTCAGAGTATTTGTTTCATCTGCTAGTCTTTCTCTCCTTCATAGCTTTCCTTTTCCTGGACTTGCTCCTTTTGAGTTGCTTTTGAGTTTCTCATGCCTAGGTAAGTGTAATAGAAATTATGTAGCTCCTTATGTTGGCAAAGGAGCTCTATATAGTTTCACTTTTTATAAAAGTTAGGACCAGCTGTTGTTACATGTAATATTTTAGTTCAGAACTTGACCTGAAGGAAGGGAAGAAAAGTATTTGATTTTTACCTTTTTTAATAAATGTGAAAAAGTCAGTTTTAGAAATTTTGTGGTAGTAAGTTTGGCATTTGTTACATGTATAGAGAGAAGACTAATAATCTCTATTTATAACTAAATCATTGAGATAGAAAAAGATTCCCATTGACCGTGTATTTCTTCCCATTTCGTCTTCCCTTCTGCCTGTTTCCCCTTCAGGCTTGGCTCTAGGAACCAAAGTGATTTGTTCTTGTTCCAACCTGGGCTTTGTGACTTTGGTTAGTGCCACTACCTTCTTCCCTCCTTTCCCCCTTCAATTTGGAAATAAATTTCTGTATATGTTGCAATTTTAGGTTTATTTTTGTTCTTTTTGTTTTTCATTAATCCTCTTTCACCTCACAGATACCCCCCTCCCATGGCAAATAATATAATAACCAGTGAATTTTCGGGAATTTAAAATTAGCTTTTTTCCACTTAAAGGAGAACAATATTTGGGACTAGCAGGCGCAGAGTGAGAGACGTGAACCTTGGTGATCTCTGATATAGTGAGAAGAGATTATACTCATGAAAGAGAATGTTAGTGTTACAGAGAAGCAGCCGATAGGAAATCAACTGTAGAGACTTGGAGGCGGCGGCATTGCTCCAGGTCATCATCAGTGTGGTATTATCTATGAGAACTTGAGCGACAGAGTATTTCTTGATGAATTTATAGATCATTTGAGATGTTGAGTTACTTTTGTTTTGTTTTCAAATAGGTAGAGACTATTAATGTAAAAACACAAGAAAGGAAAATGAAATGTGCGTGTTGAGAGCAATAATTTGTTTCTTTTAAAGATTCTGAAAGATCTGAGACCTGTAGCATTAATTATTTGAGTGCCCTCCCTTCTCCCCTCCCCTCCCTTTCTCTTCTCTTCTTTCATCTCCTCTCCTTCTCCTTTATTCATTGTTTTGCTTTGGAATAGGTTGTTCAAGTATTTGGTTTGGTTCTGGCATTTTGTTCCCACCATCCCCTTCCCCCATTAACTTCCCCCCTGCTTGCCATCCTGCAGTAGTATAAATCATGAATAAAAAATAATTTTGCTGTTGTAGTATACATTGGGGAAACTAGCAGGGTTTTATTTCCGTTATTTTATTCCCACTATATCTATGATAAGATACAATTATAAGGAGAGAAGTGACTGTTTTTTATTGATAAGGCAAGATTTTCAGAAAAATGAGTAAAATAATTAATGAAACATATTTAGAGCACTTAATGGTCTCTGTTTTCAATATAATTCTTGATTTCATTTTTCTCTGGAATATATTGGCCTTCTACAGCTATTACTGAATTACAGAAACTGGTTTATTTCTGTCAGAAAGCTGCAGTGCCACCTGAGTTCCAAATTTTAACATTCTTTGTAAATGGATGGATTATGATAAAGAAGATGCTACCAATGAAATAGAAAACCAACGAGATGAGAAGACTGTGATCCTCATGCACTCAGAGGCACTTCCCTTCTAAGTCAAAGACCATTCTCACTGACTATGTGCCAAGGCCTCACTTCAGGCTTGTGACTCAACAAAGGGCTTTTCCATTGATAGAAGCAGTTTGGGATTTGTAGCTACAACTTCTTCAATAGTTACCTGCATGTCCATTGCTGGCAGCTGACTTCAGTCATTAAAACCTGGCTCTTTGGTTAAGGGAGCTACACTGTGGTTTATTCTTAAGTTACATGGATAAACTAACCTCTAGCAGAAATATAGTTTGGTTAATTTTGAGATGTGTCATTTTTAAACAAAATCTTAAAAGCAATACAGAATTGTGATTTATTAATTTTAAATTAAAACATTGAGAACTTGTTGAAAGAAAAATTATATCTGAATCAAGATTCATGTTTTTTATTTTTTATTTTATTTTTTTTTTTTTTTGATACAGAGTCTCACTCTGTCACTTAGGCTGGAGCGCAGTGGCATGATCTCAGCTCACTGCAACCTCCGCTTCCTGGGTTCAAGCAATTCTCATGCCTCAGCCTCCTGAGTAGCTGAGACCACAGGTGCGTGCCACCACACCCAGCTAATTTTTTGTATTTTTAGTAGAGACAGAGTCTCACCATGTTGCCCAGGCTTGTCTCCAACTCCTGAGCTCAGGCAATCTGCCCACCTTGGCCTCCCAAAGTGCTACAATTACAGGCACGAGCCACTACACCTGGCCTCATGTTTTTTAAATAATTGCCTTTTATATTTACCCTTTTTGTCATCACTTTAGAATGAAAATTCCCATTTAAATCTAAAAGTTACTTTAATAGTCCTCTTGTGTTATTAGGACAGTGTTACTATAGTACTTATTTATTATATTTTAGACTTTTTCTTTTTTCTTCTGCTGCTTTTAGGGACAGTTAAAACTGGGAAACTATGAAACATGGAACATTTTATCCTACCTAGAATAGTAAATGAGTAATTGTGAAGCGTAAGACACCGAGGCTAATACAACTCTGTCTTCATGTGTCGAGTGCCTGGCACATAGTACTAATTCTCTTCCCTTTAACATATAAATGTTAAGCTGCTTAGAGTCTAGTAACCACCAACTGTAAATGAGCCTGTGCCTTTAACAAGAAATTTTAAACTACCTATGAGTATTTCTTTATAGGGCTCACTTAAATACGTTTGTATATACTGTATTCTAGCCAGAATAATTTTAGATCTGATCAGGTAGTAGCTAAAATTAGAAAAAAACAAAATAGATGCTTAAAGAATTTGCATCCATTTTTGAGTCTAAATCTTTTTAAATATACTGAGATCCACATCTAGTGAAATGTCAGTGTCAAAATATTATAGATTATAGCTAAAATCCAGATTAATACTCATTTGGGGTTTTTTATAGTGGAACTTCATAGTAATACAAGAAGCAGATTGTCTTCCTGTCTCTGCTGCTCCCACAGTAGGTATTGAAACTGGTGAAATCAGTTTTTTGATAGTGTGTGTATATAAGAAAAAATATATACACACATTCTTTTTTCTCAGTCAACACACTGATTGAACACTCTGGCAAAGATGCTGTGGTAGACGAGGTTGGAGTTAGAAAGAAGAAGCAAACACTGGCCTGGCCTTGAAAGAACGGAAGTCTTTCCCATTCACTTCTCTAGAATGCTGCCAAGACAGAGGCAGAAAGAAATGGATGATAATTCTGTCAAGCACACTTCTATTCTTTATTAAGAGAAACAATTATGTTTGGAATTCAGCATCTTTGGTTGGAACGCATTGGCTTTTTTTTCTTGTTGTGATAGAAATGGAATTAAGTAAAATTATAGTTTGTCTTTTCTGTTGTCTTCAAATTTTATAATGTCTTTTATTTTTAATTTAATCCCATTCAATTATTTAATTGTTATACATTGACATTAACTGCTGTATTTTATGACTTTGTTCAATAATTTTGTTCTTTCAGGGCTAGAAATAAACTTTTTTAAGAAATGTGCATTTTTCCCTTTCCTAAACTTTTATTCTTTCTTTTGATCAGAATAGCATAAAAGAATAGTTAAATGTCTTAATAGGTTTTCAAAGAACATTCTAGTATCTTTAGTGATAAATGTTTTAAACCTTTAAAAAAAATAGAATAGTATAGCACTGGCACATGAATAAGCAAATCTAGAGAATAGAGCACGGAATCTAGAATTACATCCAAGTACACATAAGAGCCTTATATATGACAAAATGAGCTTTTAATTCAGTACATCTCCATTAAAAACCCCATGTAAAAATACAAATTTAGACTATTTATATATTTTTTAAAGTTCAGGTGAATTAAATATTTTTGTTTTGTTTTGTTTTTTGAGACAGAGTCTCACTCTTGCCCAGGCTGGAGTGCAGTGGCACGATCTCGGCTCACTGCAACCTCCATCTCTGGGGTTCACGCCATTCTCCTGCCTCAGCCTCTCGAGAAGCTAGGACTACAGGCGCCCGCCACCACGCCTGGCTAATTTTTTGTATTTTTAGTAGAGATGGGTTTTCACCGTGTTAGCCAGGACGGTCTCAATCTCCTGACCTCGTGATTCGCCCGCCTCGGCCTCCCAAAGTGTTGGGATTACAGGCGTGAGCTACTGCGCCCGGCCAATATTTTTAAATAAACCTATAAAAATTCCAGAAGGAAGCCCTTGGTGAAGATCTTCTCACTTAAGAACGACAGAAAACAAACCACCTATTTTATAAAAAACAAGTATATCTCGCTATGTAAACCATAGCAGAAAGACAAACTAAAGACTGGAAAAAATATTTACAGTATATATAATATCTAAAAGTTGATCATATTAAAATGGACATATGCAAAGGCTACGAATTGCCAATTCATAGTAGACGGTATGCAGACCCATCATTTGAAGAGATGCAAGTAGAATTCTTTTTTCTTGTTCCAACAAAATCTAGATAATTCAAATTAAACTAAAATGGCATCATTTTTAGCCTTCAGGTGAGCAGCAATAGAAAACAAAATATTAACTCAGTGCTGGCAATTGGCACTGTTACCATTCTAAATCACCACAAATATTTTAGAAATAAATTAGCAATTATCTATTAAAATGAAAACTGCATATACCTTTGACCCAAAAATCCTATTTTCAAAAATGTATCTGACAGAAAAAAAACAAAAGCATCAGCATATAGTGATACTTCTACAATGGTGTTTACTGAAATATTATTTATAGTGACAAAAATAAAAACTGAAGACATTCAGATGTCTATTAGCAGGGAAACACATCTGAATAATGTATATTTTATTTTACTTTTTTCAGGCAAGAAAGCTTACATACATTTATTTTTGTTTATATATGTTTGTGTGTACCAAAAAGGATGATAGAAGGATGTTCTGTGCATATTAAATTGGTTACTCAGGAGGGTGAGGGGGTAAGGGGATACTACTAGTTTTTCCTATATTTATCCTGGTAATGTCTCACTTGTTAAAAGGAACATATACTGCAGAATCATGAAAATTCATGCCTAGAATAGACTTTAAAGATATCTTGTCCACTCATCTCTTTTGCAAACCAGTAAACTAAGCCCAATATTAAAATACCCAAGGTTATGCACCCATGGCTCAAAATTAAGAGTTTTTGACTCCCAGATCGGCATTCTTCCAATTCAAAATATAAAATCAAATTCTGAAAATAAGTAGCAGCTAACTCTATAGTAACCTCCTACTTGAGCCTAATAATTTATGTACTGAATGCTTCTCTTTCAGTCTGTGTGGTTTACATGCACGTATATACATATTCTTTCCCTAAGAGTTTTGTCTAGCATATGCTGTGTTTAAATTCAAATGAATTAATTTTTAAAATCAGTACCCCTTTAGGTAAATGAAGCTATCTCTGTTGTCAAAAGATCAAAGACAAGCTACATATTTAAACATTATATATTCAAATTATTTAACAACTGTTATGATACAGGCACCACACAGCTGTCAGACACTGGCGCAATCAAACCGGGCAACAGCCATTCTGGTGTAAACATCTGTGGGAAACAAAAATAGCCCAGGCCGGGCGCAGTGGCTCACGCCTGTCATCCCAGTACTTTGGAAGTCCAAGGCGGGCAGATCACCTGAGATTGGGAGTCTGAGACCAGCCTGACCAACATGGAGAAACCCCATCTCTACTAAAAATACAAAATTAGCCGGGCGTGGTGCCGCATGCCTGTAATCCCAGCTACTCGGGAGGCTGAGTCAGAAGAATTGCTTGATCCCGGGAGGCGGAGGTTGCGGAAAGCCGAGATCGTACCGTTGCCCTCCAGCCTGGGCAACGAGTGAAAATCTGTCTCAAAAAAAAAAAAAAAGTCTGCCTTGCCCAAAGCTTAAATATGCTGTCATATCTTCAAAAAGATAAGAATATCTTACCTGAAAATTTCATCTATACTAAACTCAATTTCCTACTAATGAACAGTTTGTCAAATACATTTTTGTTTTTACTATGGGTCTCGTTGTTAATGAATATGACATTATAATAATCTGACATAATACTGACATCATAGTTTAACTGTATGAATAAATGGTGTTTTCACATATAGAGCAAGAATATATACATTCACTCCACAAGTATTTACTGAATGCCTTCTACTTCAGGTATTTCCCTAAATGCTGGGAGTGCTTCAAAACAGATTTGATTCTTGCTTTCATGGAGTTCACGATCTATGAGTGAGACAGACATTAATCAAGTAAACAAGTGATAATACAATTATAAATTGTGAACAGAACAAGGTGCTGTAAAGTAGAATGACAGGGTGAGGGGTGTTCAGTCTATAAATTAGATGATCAGAAATGGCCTTTCTGGTGAACATGACATTTTCATTTGATCGGATTAAGAAGTCAACCTTGTGAAAGTAGGGAACAAGTTCTCCAGCCAGAGTGAGCTGTTTCTTACTAATGTGACTGGCTTGTTTTATCAAAATGAATCATAATGTTTAGTTGGTACTTCATCAGTACTCAATACATATTTACTTATTGAATCTAATGATTAGATTCTGCATGCTCTTCCATCTCTCTTATAAAAGGGCTTCGTGTTGGACTATGGTACAATTAGGCACTTTAAGAAACAACAAAATATTTTGAAGTAAGTTCTACGTATTTATTTGCCACTAACACACTGACTGTAAAAGATATGAAGCATATATACAGAAATTACCATAACCAAATATATATGCAATTAACCTTTTATATAGCTGTGTCTTTATGGTTTCCATCTTTTCTCCTCCCACCTCTGAAAATGTTTACAATTTGTAATCTCCCTCTCAGTACTGCCTGTAATGATATGGAATGATACCCATCCAGAGGAAGGGGTTGTAAGGGGTCACAGAGGTTTGCATTAGAAGAAGTAAAGTTTGAAAACCTTCCCCACACATTCAGTTATGCCCTCTTCTAGGGCATATCCTTCCGCTTTTCACTTAGGAACTATTCTGGTCTTTTTAGATGTCATACTTCCATAAATCTGCACAGTATATTCATTCATCTCCACTAGCGAAAAGTTCCACATTTTATATTAATTTTTTTTTTTTTTGGAGACAGGGTCTTGTTTTGTCACCCAGTCTGGAGTGCAGTGGTACAATCACAGCTCACTGTAACCTCAAACTCCTGGGGCCAAAAATGATCCTCCTATCTCAGCCTCCCAAGGAGTTGGGACTACAGGTGCACACTACCATGCCCGGCTAATTTTCTAACTTTTTATAGAGACAGGGTCTTCCTATGTTGCCCAGGCTGGTCTCAAACTTCTCGCCTCGAGGGGTCCTCCCATCTTGACCTCCCAAAGCACTGGGATTACAGGTGTGAGCCACCACACACAGCTTACGTTAATTTCTTCAAATAAAATATTTTTTCATAGGAAAAAAATTATCGTGGGGTTTTGTTGATATAGGAGTTAAGAAGAAATTAGTTAGGCAGATAGTGAGGGTACAGGAGTCCTTGGTAAGTTTTACCTTTTAATTAAAAGCAGCCCTCAAATCATTTGTTTTCCTAACAAAGAGCAGACTGTAAAATGAAGTTGCAGACATAGGCAAGCGAAGTGGAAGCCTGCACAGGCAAATGCGTGAAGTTGTGCCAATAGGAAAATACTACCTGGAATTACATGTTCAAAACGAGAGCTCTATCTTCCCTTCTCTTTGCCAGCCACGTGTACAGTAAAGAGTAGACGAGATGGCGCTGAGCAAGTGGAAAGCCCATTTGCATAAGATTAGGGTGGGGCAACCAGCCTTCCCAGCGCCCTGTAAACTTCACACCTGATCAAACCAATCTGTGGCCCCCACGTAAATCAGACACCAACTCCTCAAGCCTGCCTCCCTGCTGCTGCCAGCTGTTCCCTTTTGGTCTCTCTCTGTCTCTGACTCTGTCTCTGTGTCTCTCTCCCCTCCCCCCTCACCTTTCTCTTCTGTCTCTCTCTCCTCTCACTTCTCTCTCTCTCTTTCTCCTCTCTCTTACAAGAGAGAGATTGCATTATCATCCAATGTCGTTCAAGAAATAGAACGTTTATTGTGTACGTTTTACAAGTTCAGCACTGTGCTAGCCTCTGTGGGGATTCCCAAAGCAGAAAGTAGACGGGTGCCATAGGATGCGCAGAAGGAAGCGCTGGTGTAGGTGTGGTCCACCGATGATGGGAAAGGAAACGGAGCTTGCCTTGGTGTCATTACCAACAGGTTTGTGATATGTATACATTTCTGGATGCAGTATGGTTAAACAGGGGCATTTAAAAGAGCCCCCACCGCAGAGGGTGAAAATGTAGACCAAAAAAAAATTTTTCATTAAAAAGCAAATTTTCACTAGTGGCTCTGTAACTATGAATTTAAATTTTAAATTTCCTGATAACTTTTCAACCATGAAGACTGAGAGCCTGGCCGAATTATTTGGTTCTGTGCCCAAAGATTGGTAATAGAGTCACATAGAATAATTTTTTCTCCTCTTTAAAGATGAATCAGAGGATGCTGGGTTTCACTGAACATTTCTGAAGATTTTCCACACCACAAAGCCCTCCAGGCACAGCTCAGCATTTTGTAGACCAGCATTAAATCTTAAAAGAAGTAAAATGCTGCCTTCTCGTGGCCCATGTACAAAACTGATGAAAACAGTATTGTTCCTTCCTGTTATTGAAAAGCAGCCAAGTCCAAAGCAGAGAGCAGCAGTATTTAGATTTTAAATGAGTTTGCAAATAAAAAGACAAGAGTACCTTAATATGACATGAGCAAACCTTTCAGGAAATAAAATTTTGAATCAGATCAGATCAAAGTGTTCCAAAATGGGGCTTAATACTGTAATTACCACCATGACTCTGCATATATGCAGATTTTCCCCCAAGGAGCTCAAACTTTGACTCAAAATCCAGTAATCTTGAATCCTGGTCTAATCCTTACCATCTAAAGAAAGCACACTTATTTAGAGTAATTGTTCAATAGAAAATTTATCAGGTCCTTCCTCATCCTGCCCCCAGCCAGATGTGTTCTCTTCCTGCTCTGAATTCCAATAAGACATAATGCTACATGTATATGGGTCTCTTTTTCTGTCCACAAGTAATAGTTTTAGAACCTTTGTGGCCTCTAAGATGGGCATGACACATGGTGCATGCTTAAGAAGTGTTTGAATAAATTAATGAATAAATAAATGGGAATTAAATGATGAATAAATGTATAGCTGTGATAAATATTCCCTATTTCCCTTATTTAAGCCAAAAAAAAAAAATACTATTTGTTGTGCAAATACCAATGCCTGCAAGGCTTGTTGCACTGGCTCAGAGGCCATGCGACATATCTTTGAAAACAGTCAGGAAGGCAAGAGTGGCTCCAAATCAAGCCTGGGTGCATTACCGTACTTTGTGGACATCAGGAATGGGCACTCTGGCTCTGCCTACTCCTGGATAGGCCCTACAATGATTATACAGGTTCTGACACATAAAAGCAGGGGAGAAGAATACCTGAGAAACAGATTAAGGCAGGGTTCCTCACCCCACTGCCCACAGGAAATTCTCTTCAGTGGGCCACAGAGCTAAATGTACAAGCCAAATGCTTCCTGAAAGGTGGGTGCAGATGTAGTAAACAATAGCCTATGTAAGCACCACTGAACCACATCAGTCTAGAAGTTTCTGTTTCTGATTCAGGCACTGATCCCAGGTCAGGTGCTCTGTGAGTGCTAGCTGGGAGTGGTGGTGATGGTGGTGGTTGAGATATGACAACACATAACAATATTAGATGCCTATTAGGTTCAGGCTGTAAATGACTCCTGCTTGCCCTTGGACAAGCAAGCTGGGAATGTGTGAATGTCAGCAGTGGGTATTTATACTTGGCGCCAGACTTCTCCAGACAAGTTCTTACTTGTTCCCCTCCACCAGTGGTTGCTTGAGCCTTTCTGCTGTTTAGCCTCATTCCTTTAAGCTGTGAACCCAGACTCCTATTTTGAGTCCTTTTATAGATAACTTGATTCAGTCACAATGCAACAGACTCCAGGACAGCTTTTTTTGTCTCTGTCTCTGGCTCCCAGCACCACAGCGTAAATTTAAAAAAAAAAAAAAAGACTCCCTGCTGTGCGCTTCTTGGGCACTGTGACAGCTGAAGGACAAGCCTGCCTTTCAGCCAGGATTCCATTTCCCTAGAGAATATTAGGTATTGGATGAGATAGGAGATGAGAGGTAAAAATGAACACTGGCGTGCGCGCGCACACACACACACACACACACACACACACTTCTAATTGCCAAACTTCTCTAAAGGATGCTTGAGACCTGTCCCACTTTCTTTAGCATTTACTAATTCCTTGACTTCCTCTGACCACAATACCCAGGCCTCTCTCTTATGGAGTTCTAGTGGCCCCCTTGCTGAACATCATGGTCTTCTCTCAGTTCTTATTCTCTTTGACATCTTGCCAACATCTCACTTTTCTGACAACCTCAATTGCCTGTTCCTGGAACAGTCTTCTAATTTTCCTCCCAAGACTAATCACAAGTTAGTAAGAATCCAAGCAACTTTCATTTCTTTCATTCATTTATTTATTTTTTGAGGCAGAGTCTTGCTCTGTTGCTCAGGCTGCAGTGCAGTGGTGTGATCATGACTCACTGCAGCCTCAAATCCCTGAGCTCCAGCAATCCTCCCATCTCAGCCTCCCAAGTAGCTGGGACTATGGGTATGCGCCACCATACCCAACTTTTTTTTTTTTTTTGTAAAGGCAGGGTCTTAATATGTTGCCTAGGCTGGTCTCAAACTCCTGGGCTCAATCAGTCCTCCCACCTCATCCTCCCAAAGCACTGGGATTACAGGTGTGACCACTACACACAGCCCATTTCTTTTACAGTGTCCCAACATTTCAGTATGTTTTAAATATTTATTGCTTCTAAATTAAACGTTTAATACATATTCACAAAATATAGAGACATGATCTCATTTAGAGATCCAAATGTGAAGCCTGTGTGACTGTGAAGGCCCCCTGTGATGGGGCCGTTGTAATAGGTTTCTCTTACCTCTCTACCTGGCTTTCACATCTCCTTCAGTAACTCTCTTCCTCTTCTTGCTGCAAGACTGGGTCCTCAATCCCCATCTCTCTCCACTTACTTCCCCTTTGCCTACCAATCCTGCCTTCTAGCTCCAGTTGTCTTTTTTTTTTTTTTTTTTTTGAGATGGTGTTTCACTCTTTTGCCCAGGCTGAAGTGAAGTGGTGCGATCTCAGCTCACTGCAACCTCCACCCCCCGGGTTCAAGCAATTCTCCTGCCTCATTCCCCCGATTAGCTGGGATTACAGGCACCCACCACCAAGCCCAGCTAATTTTTTGTATTTTTAGTAGAGATGGGGTTTCATCATGTTGGCCAGGCTGGTCTCGAACTCCTGACCTCAGGTGATCCACCTGCCTTGGCCTCCCAAAGTGCTAGGATTACAAGCATGAGCCACCGCGCCCGGCCCAGTTGTAATTTTTATACTAATGACTACTCAATTGATGTACCAAGCCAAACCTCTCATCCAAGCCTGGATTCCAATACTTCTAGTTGTCTACAGAACATCTAAATCTTACCATTTGCAAACTGAACACATCATCCTCCCTCTGGTTGGCAAACTAGCTTTTCTCTTTCTCCTATCTCAAATCTTATCTCAGCAGAAGCCAAGGGTTCCATATAGGGCTATCTGTAGAGAAGAGGGTGCTCATCCTATTTCAGCTTTCAGAATTGTGATGGGTTATGGTGGTCTGAGACAGAGAAATCAATTTGAAGGAATTTGACAGAATATTATAGCTAGTTATAATGGGTTGGATAGTAAGCTGTTAGACCTTCCCAGAAAAGAAGTTCTCGAAGTAAAAGGCAGAGTTCTGACCTTTTATATAGAAACCGGTGCAATGGTTATGGGTGGAGGGGCAGCTGTTAAGGATGTCCAGTTTAGACATCTCTTAGCAAACTGGAAAGCTATCTCCTTCATGCCTATACCCAAGACCCATTTGTTAATTACATGCATGTTGTCTTAGTCCATTCGTGCTCCTATAACAAAATACCACAGACTATTTTATAAAGAAAAAAAAATTACTTTCTCACAGTTTCAGTGGCTGGAAAATACAAGGTCAAGGCTCTAGGCATTTGATCTAGTGAGGGCCTTCTTGCTGCATCCTCACATGGCATAAGGTGGAAGGGCAACTAGCCAAGCATTGCGGGACGCCTCTTTTGTAAGGGCTTTTTAACTCCATTAGCCAGGAAGAGACTGTAAGGCCTAATCACCTCTTAAAGACCATCTTAATACCTATCTTAATCACTTCTTAATACCATCATATTGGCAATGATTGAACTTTGGAGGGGACACATTCAAATCATAACATATGTTGTAATAAGCTGCAAAATGTAAGTTTTAATAGAATAAACTTTTGTTTACCTCTATCATTCATTCACTCTATGAGATTTTTGCAGTAAAGTTTTATCCCAATATTATAACGATCTCTCAGGAAATCTCTTTATGTTCTGAGATCATCTGACAGCACCATGTACAATCTGTCCTTCTCATAGGAGCAGATGAAATCAACCAGTGGTATTGATGGTTATCTTTTCTTAAGCCGGTTATTGCAGGCATCTGTCTGTCTCTTTGTGGAAGACTCCATGCACACTACCACAGGAAGGAGATCTTGTGATGTAGGCAACTTCCTGGTTAAAGCTCTTGTCAGTTTAAACATGATTACTTACTTTCTGACGTTTGCACTAAGTAGAAAAATATGCTCCTTAGAGTCCTAATGAGTATCTACTTTAACCTACCCCAAATGAGGTAAGATCATTGGATATCAGAATTGGAACACAATTTATGTCCTGAAAAAAATAATGAGAAAGATCAAATAAGAGTTATGTAATCTTACTGCAAAAACCTAGCTGTAGGAAATAGATACCTTCTATCATCTGTCCCAAAAGATGGAGTTGTCTGAGCCACTAATCCAATTCTAGGGATCCAGATGATTCAGGTAATTCATGAATCCCATCTTCAGACAGAAGGCAAGAGCAGTGCATGAGATATCTCAGTAGCATGACATTCCATTTTATAGGAGCTAAGGGGAAACTGAAACTCTGTGTAGAGTCTCTGTCTCTTAGTTTACTGAAATTTATCTTTCATTGTAATAAAAAAGATCTGACCCAAAGGAAAAAAAACATTGTCAAAAATTTTGGTATTTCTCAAGGCACCTGAACAAATATACCATAGCCATCTAGGGTTATATTGTCACCACCAGTTGTGTAATTAAAACAAAAAAAAACTTTAAAATTAAGTATCAGCAAGATATAATTAAGAAGAAGAATGTCCTTTTATGTGTGACAAATCATAAATAAATGTATGTAAATACTTAAAGACTAAAGCTAAGTTATTTGTAAACTATTCATTTTTAAATGATTTGTACAAACATTCCTCTAGGATATGACATTTAAAAATAAAATGTGATTCTATTTATAAAGTCTGTATTAAGCGGAATACTGTATTAAATAAATATATCTAATATGAATGGAATTAGAACTAAATTTTAGTTTGCACAATAGATATCTGTCCAAAAAACTTAAGATTACAGAAAAGGCTACAATGGCTGACTTCCTTTGGCAAATGGTGGCATACTGCAAGAAAATTTTATCAGAAAATTTTTGTTTTGTCCTTATTTTAACCTGAGAAAGCTTATAATTCAATTCCCCTTACAAATATATCATAATAAAGATTAGGTGAATTTACCTTGTAAGAGGAAAATTGGAAAAGAGGAAATATCATATAATTTGTAACAACATTTGCAAGGAAAATTCTATAATATGTGTCAAATATATTTAGTAAAACCAGAGTTTATTGTTTACCATGTAGCTAGAAGTCCTAATATATTTCTTTGCTCTTTTTTCCTATTTTTAATATTAATATAATCTGTTCCTAAAAACTGCCCAAGTCTTCACCAGCCAACTTAAGGTGATTTTGTGACACCCCATTAAGTTATCATTTATTCTCATTGATCTCATCACCTGCAAACTTTTCAAAGATACTGATACTCTACCTGTCCTTCCTAAATTACTACAGTTCCCTTCATCCCAGTTTCTACTACTACAAGTCGTTTGAAACCTGCTTATGAAGATTGTCACTAATAACCTAATCCCCAAATCAAACCACCTTTCTCTCTCCCTTTATCTCAGTCAAGTTTAATCAAATTTAGCCCTATTAATGTTCCTCTTTTTCCTTGAAATTTATTCTTTAGGTGTTTTATTCTAGCTTATCCCCCGCATTTCTTTTTGACAGCTCATTTTCAATCTCTACCTCTTCTGCACACTAAGGGCTTTTCTTTGGTTCTGACTTTTCCTCTTATTCACAATTGACGGTTCACATGACCTCGTTCTGTATTTCCTCTCTCTCATTTTCCCAGGCTTAAACACTTGGAGAGATTTTCTCTTAACACTCCTATAAAAATGTGAGTTTATCTAATGGAGATTTAATAAAGCAAATGCTCTCTCCACAAAGAGATATCGCTGGACCACTAAAAATTCAACAATGTTCTCAACTAAATTTTCTCCATTTGTATTATTAAGGGAGACTAACTAAACCCACAGTTCTCCACAATGACAACTGCCCTTACAGATTTGCTTAAAAAAAGTAGTCCATATATTCGCTAAAATCTAGAGGATATTTAATAATATGAGTGCAACTCTTTTCTCCTTTAGGGTATGGACAGGAACGTTCATTCGAAGTCAAGGCAGATGCCTAAAATATTGCAGTAAGACAATCTTCTCATTGTCTGTAGCAGATACAGACACTGGTTACTTCTCCCCCAAATTCACTCATACGATACTGAACTAACTAATGCTATGTTAAAGCAGAAATATGCAAGAATGTACCCTTAATAAATAAGGTCCCTGCTTAGTTGTGGTGGTAAAATGTGAAGGGAAACTCAGGCAGTAAACAAGATCAGAGAAAAAAAGGAGGCAAGACAATCATAGTTGACAATAGATCTGTTCTTAGTTTCAGTTTTGTCACCAATATCTCAGAAACCCAGAAGCAAAGGATGTATGGCTAATTCTACCTGAGAACTTCAGTGTGACTCCATTTTGATGCAATCAAAACTTGAACTCATCTTCCAAGATTGAAAGCAATGGCCCCCCTACATACTACATACCACTGTCATTGTCATTGTCATTTCTCCTTAAAATCATTTCATCCCCCATTGTATGTTCTATTTGTGAATATCTTCCTTGGTCCATGAATCTGCCTTCACTCTCCGTATTCTTCTTCAGACCTAGACAGTATGCTCTTAAGAACTGAGTAACTTCATTCAGGATATGGCCACTACTATGAAGATGACTTTTGGACAAAGGACTGGTTTTAGGAATCCTGAAAGTTTCTGGGAGACTTTACCAGTCTTATTTCTGCAAGTCATGATTACCACACATTTTGTAGCTAAACAATTGCTGTTCCTACACTGTAAGATCATCATCTTGGTAAGTGACATTTTCATCAGTATGGGTTATTCTTTCATTCCATAATATCCTATGACCCAGACTAGGCCTTTGGGTTCTAGTTCACCCTTAGATATTTATGTTTTATGTTCTCCTATGATGGTTAATTTATCTTAAGCATATCTCAGTCCCCAAAAAAATGCTTAATTTTTTTTATATTTTTAAATGACTGTCACAGCAGCATTATTCAGAATAGTTAAAAAGTAGAAGCAACCCAGGTATCCATCAGCGAATTCAGATTAAAAAATTCTGCAGGCAACCAAACTTTTAGTCAAGTGAGAGGAAATCAGAAAATGCAAGTATCCATTTACCATTCATGGGGGAAATAATTCTTTGATACTTGAGAAAATACCACAGCTGACTAAAAGAATAAATAAAACTGTTACATCTCAAGAGGTAATATGATATTAAAAATTGATTATGTGTACTGCATCCATTAAAATTCACATTAATAAATAATTACTAGTTTTTAACATCAATATGTTACATAATTCTTGTATCAAATATATTTCTTGGGAAAGAAAATAAAATAAAAAATA
This sequence comes from Homo sapiens, assembly GCF_000001405.40. Lineage (NCBI taxonomy): Eukaryota > Metazoa > Chordata > Mammalia > Primates > Hominidae > Homo > Homo sapiens. Next base: position 4,245 of record NT_187382.1, on the reverse strand, counting down.
ATATTTTTAATACCAGGAATTTGACCTAAAAAACTAATTAATTAATACATGTTGAGCAGGAGTAGAGAAGAGGAAAGTAAAAGTGTGATAAGTCTCTTATATAGGAGAACCAGTAATAGTCTTCCATTCTTATAATTGGTTGAAAATTACATATATATGCTAATCTCTGTGTATATGTATATTTTTATATACATATAATGTGCATATGTGAATATATATATAACTGTAGAACAAAAATGTGCATTCTACAAATGGGAATATAGAATAAAATTTGTAGAAAAAATAATAGGAAGAAAGAGGAGCTACAATGACATATAATGTATAGGGAAGAAGAAAACAGTAAGTATAAACCACAAAGAATAAAATAAAATGGCAAAATAAGACTATACCTGACTTGGCATAGTGAATATAAATGGCTTAAAAGATAACAAAAAAAGGCAAATAAAATCAGCTTATATCAAAAGGTAAAAATCTAAATTTACTAATTATAAGAAGCACATGTATAAACGAATTGACAAAGAAATGTTGAAAATAAAGGGATTCAAAAGTTTCCCTGGTCAAAAGGAACATAGAAAATTTAGAGGAATAGACAGGTAGAAATATTAGAATCAGACACAGCATCATGTATCATGGCAAAAAATATGAAATGGATAAAATGATTATTATACACCTGTAAAAGTTACAATGCACAGTGCAAACATAAGCATCACAAACAATCCATACACTGAGGAAATACATAAAATAAAAACTGTTAGGAAGGAAAGGAAACTTTACATAAAACTTTAACATAACTGTAACATACATCTAGGAGATAAAACAGAATTTCCGGAATGACAAAATATCTTTAATAGGCATGACTAAGCTTTACACTATACAGAGAATATGCCTTTTTCTGTAACATCCACAGAACAAACAGTAAAATTCACTATAATGGTTTTAATAAAGTGTGAGTATTTTGACTCATCCACCCCAAAAGGGCGTATTCTTTCTACACTAATTGTATAGCTCAGGATGTTAGGAATTAACCAATATTCTTTAGTCCTTGAAAGATCTTAACCTTGAAAACACTCAGAGACAACATACAAATAAAACCCACACCAGCTTTTCTGTGTGCTTTATCTGACTGTAGTAGGCTGAATAAAGGCCTCCAAAGATGTCCCCATTCTAAGCCCTGGAACCTGTGAATGTTACTTTACATAGCAAAAGGGACTATGCAGATGTGACTAAGAATCTTGAGACAGGGAGATTTTCCTGGGGATTATCCAGGTGGGCCCTAAATGCAATTTCAAGTCTCTTTATAAGAGGGATTGAGAAGGAAACTTCATCAAAGAACAGGAAAAAATCAGTGTGACCATAGAAGCAGAGATTGAAGCGATGTGGTCACAAGGCAAGGAATGCTGGCAGCCACCAGACACCCGGAAGAGGTCAGGAACAGATTCTCCCCCGGAACCTCCAGAGGGGAGACAGCCCTGCTGTCACCTTGATTTTAAGCCAGTGATGTTGATTTCAGACTCTGGCCTCTGGAACTGTGAGTAAATAAATGTGTGTTGTTTTATCCACTAAATGTCTGTTTTAAGCCACCTACCACAGGAAAGTAATACTCTAACCTCCAGCTAGTTTCTCTCTCTGGGACTCTCCCTGTATCAGCAATGGTACTATCACTTTCCTTGTCACCCAATCACCATGAACTTCTCCTCTCTCGCACCCATACCCAAAGTAAGGGGTAGTGGGAATGGGTGGATTTTCATCCCACCTCTTTTTTTAATGAATAAATTAAATAAAAGAGTATCTCCACAAGTTTGCCTACCTATCATTTTAAAGTAAAACCACCGTAAGTTTGATTGTTGACCTCTCTGGTGAAATTGCTAGAAATAAAGAAAGTATCTTACCAACCTAAAGGAAATGGAGATAAAAGAGTTGGAGAAGAAGCAGGATGCCTAAGCCTCGTCTTTAAAAAAGAGGTTTTTTACATATCTTTCTCTTACCAAACTTTAGGTTGCTAATACATTTATCACTATAATTTTATTTTTAATTAACATTCCTGGTGAAAAATGGACACATTTGATAGATTCAGAGGCTGTAATAAAGTCATCTGTCCTAAGAACCAGGAAGCACACAGAGTGATGTAGTTCACTAAAGGTTTCCCCCACCTCGATTTACATGGGCCTTAACTTTCAAGAGATTCAACATGGCAGCTTTAATAATAATAATAATAATAATAATAATAATAATAATAATAATAAAAGAGAATCTTGTGTGTCCTTCAATAGTTGACTGAAAGTGTGGCAGGCCAGGTCTCACTAACAGCTGAATAAGCAGGCCTCCATGACAACTGTTTCAGCACTGACTGAGTGGTTAAGATAAATATTAAAAACTGATGGGGCCAATGTCCTCATACAAAGGCTGGAATGTAACAAAACCCACCAAGAGTTTTGCCTAGGTCTTCCCTGGGCCTTGAAGTATGACAAGATAACAAAGGAATTCCTAACAGGACCCATTTAGGATTAAACAAGTTTTATTGGGGGTCTAAAGGAACTCCCTAGACCTCCACAAACAAGCTTTACTGGGGACTAAAGGAACCTCCATGATTTAGCAGGAGACAAGATAAGGGTAATCACCCTGGCACCTGGACCCATTTAGATTAAGAAAATTTACTAAGGCTCCAGAGGAAGGTCTTCAGTACTCAGATTTTAGTTATAGGTTAGAAGTTGATTACTTGGCCGGATGGGGTGGCTCACACCTATAATCCCAACACTTTGGAAGGCCGAGGCAGGTGGATCACCTGAGGTCGGGAGTTTGAGACCAGCCTGACCAACATGGAGAAACCCCATCTCTACTAAAAATACAAAATTAGCCTGGCATGGTGGTGCACACCTGTAATCCCAGCTACTTGGAAGGCTGAGGCAAGAGAATCACTTGAACCCAGGAGGCAGAGGTTGCAGTGAGCCGAGATCGCACCATTGCACTCCAGCCTGGGCAACAAGAGCAAAACTCCGTCTCAAGAAAAAAAAAAAAAAAGTTTATTACTTATGTCTTTAGATGAATGCACACTTACATACTTACACATAGACATATAGCTTAGAAGGTGTATAAGCTCTGGAAAACTTTATAATTTTGAGTTGGTCTGGCAATATTTCCCAGCCTTCTCTCTGTACCTAGTTATATAAATAAACTCCCTTCTATCCAGTTCATCTGCATCTCATTATTGGGCCATGAGAATAAGCATAAAACAAACCTTCCTTTGATGCTGGTATCTAAGTACCAAAAAATAGATACCAGCATCAAAAGAAGGTTTGGATACAACCTTCTTTCATTTTGTTTGGATACAAGGAGCTAGTTTGGGTCTGCTCCTTTAATGTATCTATGCTCATATTTTCCTTCCTCAATTATAAAATAAAGTAGAGGTGAACACTGTGGTTAGCCATAGATTAACCAAGAAAGCAGAAATCATCTCAAATGTTCACAGCAGAAGGAATGGAAAGCAGTGGTGGGTCCATGAAGAGTGGAGAGGCTGAGAATTAAACAGAGGGCTCTAAAATAATCCTGGGAGATTGACGATAGCAGGAAGTCTTTATCATTCTTGGGCTGGAGAGACAAAAGGAAAACATGGAATTACTGGCACCAAGAGGACCACTCTGGGAGACTGGATCTCTGGTGGCCTTGATACAATGGGGGCTGGAGTCACAGAGAAGATAAAGCCACTGGAGAGGCCACCTTAGGCTGAAAACAGGAGGGAGTGTCTTGATAGCTCCCTCCCCCAAAAACCGCTCCTCACCCTGCTCTCTAATTTTCCATGGTTGATATATTCCTGCTGCCCGTTGACTCAGTCCTTTCAGAAATTCTCTAGAGCCTGAAAAAGTCACCCTGCCGAGGATCAACTTCTTCACCCCAGAACAAGGCAGAGCAGAAGGATGGATCTGAGTGCAAACAGGTCCAGGACCAGCACACCATATGGTAAAGTGTTTTTATGGTGTTATATAATAGAATATATCATTGAATTCAACTCCTTCATTTTACAGAGAGGAGCTAGGGTCCAGAGAGATGAAACTGTTTACCTAAATGCACACACACAGCAAGCTTTTAGGTCTGAACACACAGCATGCTTTTATTAGGATTGTATTAGTTATGACACTGCTTAAGCCCTATTATAAAGTTGTTGGGAGCTGAGTCATTTCATAGTCATCCCTAGTACCTGATACAGCATCTGGTGCTTAGAAAACTCTCATTAAAACATTTATTGAATTC